>NC_000013.11:71892954-72044469 GCF_000001405.40 Homo sapiens
CTAATCCTTTATCTGCTTTTCTGTAGTTTCTTCACTTTTCTTGTGGATCTTCTATCTACCCTTTTGCTATTCTGTTTCCTAAGGGCTCACCACCAGTCTGCTTGAAAATATCCTCCATCAAGTAATGTGCATCCAAAATATTTTTAGCCCTTTGTAATGAGATTTATGTTGATTTTCCTAACTCCAATGATGTTATTAGATTGCTTGTCAAAATCATTAATACAGCCCTTGTATTTAAGAAGTACCCTAGTTCTGGAAGCCGCAATTGCCATTTTGTTCTAATTGAGCACCTTTTTAGTTCATGGATAGATAACTGTAATTTTTGCTGTCTTCATTTTCTGGACACGACATAATATTATTTTTAAACACTACATAATTTCATTCCAGAGTCATCTCAGTTTGTATGACATAGAAACAGAAAACCACATGGATTTGAGGACATAGGCATAGGCAAGGACTTCATGTCTAAAACACCAAAAGCAATGGCAACAAAAGCCAAAATTGACAAATGGGATCTAATTAAACTAAAGAGCTTCTGCACAGCAAAAGAAACTACCATCAGAGTGAGCAGGCAACATACAGAATGGGAGAAAATTTTTGCAATCTACTCATCTGACAAAGGGCTAATATCCAGAATCTACAATGAACTCAAACAAATTTACAAGAAAAAAACAAACAACCCCATCAACAAGTGGGCGAAGGATATGAACAGACACTTCTCAAACGAAGACATTTATGCAGCTGAAAGACACATGAAAAAATGCTCATCACCACTGGCCATCAGAGAAATGCATGTCAAAACCACAATGAGATACCATCACACACCAGCTAGAATGGCGATCATTAAAAAGTCAGGAAACAACAGGTGCTGGAGAGGATGTGGAGAAATAGGAACACTTTTACACAGTTGGTTGGACTGTAAACTAGTTCAACCATTGTGGAAGTCAGTGTGGCGATTCCTCAGGGACCTAGAACTAGAAATACCATTTGACCCAGCCATCCCCATCCCATTACTGGGTATATACCCAAAGGATTATAAACCATGCTGCTATAAAGACACATGCACATGTATGTTTATTGTGGCACTATTCACAAGAGCAAAGACTTGGAACCAAGCCAAATGTCCAACAATGATAGACTGGATTAAGAAAATGTGGCACATATACACCATGGAATACTATGCAGCCATAAAAAATGATGAGTTGATGTCCTTTGTAGGGACATGGATGAAGCTGGAAACCATCATTCTCAGCAAACTATCGCAAGGACAAAAACCAAACACTGCATGTTCTCACTCATAGGTGGGAATTGAACAATGAGAACACATGGACACAGGAAGGGGAACGTCACACACCGGGGCCTGTTGTGGGATGGGGGGAAGGGGGAGGGATAGCATTAGGAGATATACCTAATGTTAAATGACGAGTTAATGGGTGCAGCGCACCAACATGGCACATGTATATATTTGTAACAAACCTGAACATTGTGCACATGTACCCTAAAACTTAAAGTATAATAAAAAGAAAAAATATATATAAAAAAAGAAAAAAAAGGATAAAAATGTTGGAAAGTAAGGAGAGTGCTGATAATGATTGGAGTAACTTTGGCCCATTCAAGGCACAAGGTTATGTTTAGACACATGTTTGTCTGTGAACTATCCTTTTAAAAGATAAATCATTCTTTAATGCTGCTGAAACACTTTTCATCTTCCATGATCTACTGCAAAGGATGGCATATATTTTACACACTTCTAATTGATTCAGGAATGCCTCTTCCCAACACTTACCTTTAAATACTGTTTCACACCTCTGACACCTCCAGCTAACTAACCCCCGAGTCACCAAGAGCACATTCAGCTCACCCCCTCCCTCACCCCGCACCCTATGTTGGAGACAGGGCCAGACTTGAAGGTGGAGGGGCCCCAGGCAATCTTTTCAGTCTCCCACAAAATAATTATTGAGTAATCACTCAGGGCAAGAATTAAATTGTTGCAGGTTAAGAGGAACAAGAAAGGGTGGTCAGAAAATAATTGGGTTCTGCTGAAAGCTTTCCTGAGATGCTAGTTAAAAATATCTCCTTTGGTGGAATATGGTATACTCCAGGAAGAAAAATCTCAAGAGCTAAAATATTCATATTGTAAAAGAAAGTTATGGCATAGTAGATTCATTATTACTTAATTTAAGACTCATGGATATGGCAGGAGTGAAAAAAAATGTTAAACCAAAAACTACCTTAGGAAAAAATACTTAAGTAAAAAGAAATAACATTTTTTAAGGACAAAGAAATACATAATACATTTCACGCATTTTTTAAAATTTATTTTGAGATGGAGTCTTGATCTGTCACCCATTCTGGAGTGCAGTGGCACGATGTTGGCTCACTGTAACCTCTGCCTCCCAGGCTCAAGCAATTCTCCTGCCTCAGCCTCCCGAGTAGCTGGGATTACAGGCGCGTGCTATCACATCAGGCTAATTTTTAGTATTTTCAGTAAAGGCGAGGTTTCACCACGTTGGCCAGGCTGGTCTCGAACTCCTGACCTCAAGTGATCCTTGCGCCTCAGCCTCCCAAAGTGCTGGGATTACAGGCATGAGCCACTGCACCCAGCCGTCATGCATAACAAAATAACAGAGGAATACAGGAGTGTATTTTTTTCAAACTAATGTAAACATAGTTAAGTTCACATGTCGTGGATATTTGACAGGGGATTAGGTATTGCAGAAGGGAGAAATAGAGGCAGATATAGACTTAAAAAAGAAGACAGCAGATGCATAGAATTGGAGACCAGATAATTAGAAATGCCTCAAGGAAAAATGACCACTTTCCCCATTTTTCCTACTCCTGCTTACCTGGTTTCCAGCATCTCTTTGATCCAGTTTCCCTGAGTTGTTAGCTACTTCTGCCAAGCCCAAAGAGCTATAGGCCTCTGTGAGCCCATCCTGTCCCTCATAGGCTGGGCAATGATTCATTCCCATCGGTTTCAACATACCTTGGGGTACTTACTTCTTTCCTTGGGAAGACTTGTTTCTCCTTCATCTATTTCTGATGAGCCTGTGATAACTGAATTTGGCCTAATCTTTCAAATCTGTGTATATAATTCATGTGGGACAATGAATAAGAAAAAATATCACATTTTCTTCTTATAAGATTTTAAAAAATCATTGATACACACTTTTGGCCATTATATTTGACAAAATTGCTAAAGATATATTTAACCAAAAACACTCTTATAGCATATGAAATAGTATATTTGATTTATGTATTAACATCATTAGCACTTTCAATTGATCATGAGGTCCTGTATGAAATGGCTATGTATTACATAAACTTGTGTTTTTAGGGTCTAGCATAAGGCCTGGAATAAAGGAGGCACTGAATATAGTTTTTAAGTTAATGAAGTTACAGAAACACGAATACCACATGATCTCACTTGTGGAATGTATGTAGGTGGAATCTAAAAAGTTGAACTCATAGAAGCATAGAGTAAAATGGAAGTTACCAGGGGCTGGGGGTTGGGGTGTGAATGGGATTGGGGAGATGCTGGACAAAGGATACAAAATTTCTGTTAGAAGAAATTAACCCAAGAGCTCTATTGTACAATATGGTGACTATAATTAATGACAATATATTTCATATTTGAAAATTGAGAAAGAGTAGATTTTAAGTGTTCTCACCAAAAAAAGGAAAGTATCTGAGATAATGCATATGTTAATTAGGTCAATCTAGCCATTCCACAATGTATGCATATTTCAAAATATTATGTTAAAACTGACATTACAGAAATACAAGAGATCATCAGAGATTACTATGAACTATACACTAATAAAATGGAAAACCTATGGGAAATGGATAAGTTCCTAGACACATAAAACCTACCAAGACTGAATCAGAAAGAAATAGAAAACCTGAACAGACTAATATCAAGTAATGCTATTGAATCAATAATAAAGTCTCCTAGAAAGAAAAGCACAAGACCTGACACCTTCACTTCCAAATTCTATCAAACTTATAAAGAAGAACTAATACCAATTCTCCTCAAACTATTCTGACAAATAGAAGAGAAGGAAATTATTTCTAACTCATTCTATGAAGCCAGCATTACTCTGATACTAAAACCAGACAAGGACAAAAATAAAAAAAGGAAACATTGGGCCAATATTTCTGATGAACATAGTCACAAAAGTCTTCAACAAAATACTAACAAACTGAATCCAACAGCACATCAAAAAGATAATATACTATGATCATGTGGTAGTCATCCCAGGGATGCAAGGATGGGTCAACATATGCAAATGAATAAACATGATACATCACATCAACAGAATAAAGAACAAAATCATATGATTATCTCAATAGATGCAGAAAAGGCGTTTAATAAAATCAACATCTATTGATGATAAAACCTTTCAACAAACTAGGCAGAAAAGAAACATACATCAACATAATCAAGGCCATATATGACAAACCCACAGCTGACATCAAAGTGAATGAGATAAAGCTGAAAGCCTTTCCTCTAAGAACTGGAACTAGACAAGAATGACAACTTTCACCACTCCTATTCAACATAGTACTGGGAGTCCTAATTGGTGCAATCAGGCAAGTGAAAGAAATAAAAGGCATCCAAATTTGAAAACAGAAGTTAAATTGTCCCCTTTTACAGATGACACCATTTTATATTTAGAGAAGCTTAAAGAGCCCACCAAAAAACTTTTAGATTTTATAAACAAGTTCAGTAAAGTTGAAGGATACAAAATTCACAAACAAAAATGATAGCATTTCTATACACTAATAATGAGGTAACTGAGAAATAAATTTAAAAAGGGAATCCCATTTACAATAGTTACAAAAACATTTAAAATACCTAGGAATAAATTTAACCAAGGAAATGAAAGATCTCTGCAAGGAAAACTGCAAAACACTGATGAAGGAAATTGAAGAGGACACAACAAATGGAAAGACATCCCATGCTCATGGATTGAAAGAGTTAATATTGTTCAAATGACCTTACAACCTAACACAATTTACACATTCAATGCAATCCGTATAAAAATACCAATAATATTTTTCACAGAAATAGAAAAAACAATTCTAAACGTTTCACGCAACCAAAAAAGAGCTCAAATAGCTAAAGCAATCCTGAGTAAAAAGAACAAAGCTAGAGGCATCACACTATCTTACTTCAAAATATGTTACAAGCCTATAGTAACTAAAATAACATGGTATTGGGATAAAAACAGACACAAAAACTGATGGAACAGAATAGAAGACACAGAAATAAACCCATAAATTTACAGCCAAATGATTTTTTACAAAGGCACCATGAACATACATCAGGGAAAAGACACCCTCTTCAATAAATGGTGCTGGGAATACTGGATATGGATGTGCAGAAGAATGAAACTAGACTCTTATTTATCACCATATACAAAAACCAACTCAAGATGAATTAAAAACTTAAGTATAAGACCTGAAACTATAAAATGATCACAAGAGAACATAGGGAACATATTCCACCTGGTTTAGGCAAAGATTTTTTGACTAAGACCCCAAAAGCATAGGGAACAAAAACAAAAATAGCCAAACAAAAATAGCCAAACTAAAAAGCTTCTGAAAAGCAAAGAAAACAGAGTGAAGAGACAACGTTTTGAATGGGAGAAAATAATTGCAAACTATTCATCTAACAGGGGACTATTATCCACAGTATAAAAGAAACTCAAACAACTTAACAGCAAAACAAAACAAAACAAAACAAAAATCCCATTAAAAATTAGGCAAAAAATCAAAGTAGATATTTCTACAAAGACGACACACAAATGACCAACGTGTATATGAAAGAGTGTTCAACAATACTAATCATCAGGTAAATGCAAATCAAAACCACAGTGGGATATCATCTTATCCCAATTAGGATGTCTAATATTAAAAAAAAAAACAAAAAATTACAGCTGCTGGAGAGGATGTAAAGGAAAGGGAATTCTTATACACTGTTGATGGGAATGTAAATTAGTACAGCCACTATGGAAAACAGTACAGGTTCCTCAAGAAAAACTAAAGAGAACTACCATATGGTCTAGCAATTTCACTACTGGATGTTTATCCAAAGGAAAGGAAATCAGTATATCCAAGGAATGCGTTACCCCCAGGTTTATTGCAGCACTACTGACAATAACAAAGATATGGAATGAAACTAAGCATTCATTAATGGGTGAATGAATAAAGAAAATGTGGTACATTTACACAGTAGAATATTATTCACCTGTAAAAATGCATTAAATCATGTTGTTTGCAGCAACATGGATGGAATTAGAGGTCATTACATTAAAAAATAACACAGACACAGAACGACAAATATCACATGTACTCACTTATGTGGGAGCTTAAAAAGTTGATCTCCTGGAGGTAAAGAGTGAGAATGATGGTTACTAGAGGCTGGGAAGGATGTGGGTGTGTGTTGGGGTGGAAATAAAGAGAGGCTGGCTAATGGGTGCAAAAATACAGTTACACAGAAAGAATAGGTTCTAACGCTTGATGTTAGAGTAGGACGACTACAGTTAACAACAACGTATTGTAAATTTCAAAATAGACATAAGTGAGGACTTGAAATGCTTTCAACACATAGAAATAATAGATACTTAAGAAGATGCACATCCTAAATACCCAGGTTTAATCATTACAGATTCTATGTATGTAACAAACTATCACATGTATCCCACAAATTTGTGCAAAGATTATGTATCAATAAAAAACTTATGATGAATTGTTTATTTCTGGAATTTTCCATTGAATATTTTCAGATCAGGGTTTAACACAGATAACTGAAACTGCAGAAAGCAAAAACTGTGATAAAGAAGGAGGACAACTTTAGTTAACAAGTCATCCTACTGTACAGTGACACTACTGTATTTTGTTTTGATTTGTGAAATGTGAGTATATCAGCTAGTTAAATAATAATAAATAAATACAAAAAAATCAGTTGTACACCATAAAGATATATAATTTATATTTCTCTGTTTAAAAATATATTAGTTGTTTGTCATTAAATTAATGAAAATGTTTACTCAGAAGCTACATTCATTCATCTGCTTATTCGACAAATATTTGTTAAATCCTTACTGTGAGTCAGACACTAAGGGTATCAGAATGCATCATAAAACAATACAGAAGAAGGCCTCCAGGTCCCCCTGCATCCTACATTCTGGCTACAGATATAGCAAGGTGTCTCTTTTGAAAAACAAATTAGAAATATACATATATTTGGGAGAAATCAAGACATTAAAATGGTTGATGTCATGAGAACAGATTAACTTCTGGAAAGAGAGAGTATATAAAGGAAAAAGAAGAACCAATACATTAGTACTGCCCACAGTAAAGGACTGGGTCTTTTTCTAATGTTTTCCCAGATGCCTCAGTAAAAGTGGTTACTCTGATAATAATTGTTAATAAGTAACAGATATTTCCAAAGGATATATACAATTAGATTTGAAACAACAAACAATAATGTTTGATTCTAGAGTACAGTATTAAGATAATTTTTTAAAGCAAGCAAGCTAAACTGACTTGAAATAAAATTCTATTTTATTTTTTATTCTGTTTTCTCAGTTTTCTTTTGTTTCTTCCTTAAACATTTTTATTGTGAAATATAACATGCATATAGGAATGTGCACAAAATAAGATTGTACAGCCTAATGAATGATCATTAAGCAAATACTCATGGAACAACCAGAAAGGTCATGAAATAGGACATTGCCAGAAACTTGAAGGTCCCCAAATGCTTCCTCCTAGACACTTCCTCTTCTCTATCACATGGAGAAAGCCACTTTACTTTTTTTGTTGTTGTTGATCGTGATGTTTTTATTTATGTATGTATTTTATTTCTTTTTAAAAGTTTTTTATTTCAATAGGTTTTGGGGGAACAGGTGGTGTTCGGTTATGTGGATAAGTTCTTTAGTGATGATTTCTGAGATTTGGGTGCACACATCACCCAAGCAGTGTACACTGTACACAGTGTATAGTTTTTTATCCCTCACTCACTTCTCACCCTTTCCCCCGAGTCCCCAAAGTTTATTATATTATGCTTATGCATTTTTGTCCCATAGCTTAGCTCCCGCTTACAAGTGAGAACATATGATGTTTGGTTTTCCATTCCTGAGTTACTTCACTTACAATAATGGCCTCCAATTCCATTCAGTTTCTTGTGAATGCCATTATTGTGTCCCTTTGTATGGCTGAGTAGTATCCCATGGTATATATATGCCACATTTTCTTTATCCACCCGTTGATTGATGAGCATTTAGTGGTTTCATATTTTTGAAATTGTGAATTGTGCTGTTATAAATGTGTATGCAAGTGTCTTTTTTCATATAATGACTTCTTTTTCAAATGCATGGCTGAAATAAAGTAAAAAATAAAGTATAGGGTACCTATGTAATAGTGATTTCATTATCTGAAGGTTGTTTAGCTAACTCTTTATGATGTAAATGGCATATATATTCATAGATCACATTAGCTGTGAATTAGTCATGAAGAGAAAAGTAAGCAACATTTTTGAACAAATAATTTTAAATGGTAGATGAGTAAAGTTAGTTACCCATTAATAAGCTATTTCTTGTACACAGATTTTCATACTTTCATTGGAATTGCTAATTAGGAAAGAGAATACCCTGAACATTTCTTTAATAATAAAGAGAACACAACCTAAGTTTCAAAATGTTCATCTATAGAAATACACCAGAACATTGAAAATCCACATTTATCGTCTATGAGATATTCTTTGAATAAATCAAAACAGTACAGGTTTTCTATGATTTTAGACTAAATTACTGTAATTTCCCATTGTGTAGTCAGAGTATTTGGATTTAAATCTTGCTTTTGTCCCCCACTGGAAAAGTTAATTAACACTGGACTAATTATTACTATTATTTGTAAAGTGAGGGTAATAAGTTTGTCTGGATAATTAAATGAGAATCTGTGGAAGGCACAGCTTGACATAAGTGCATGGGTCCTGATTTTTTTAATTGTGCTTGGGGTCTTATACCCTAAGACTTCTCCATTTAATAGTGGAAATGTTAATCTAATAGTAAAGTTCAATAAAATTTTTGAATTAATGAATTCTTGCATACATGAATCACCATATTTATATCAATAG
Organism: Homo sapiens; assembly: GCF_000001405.40. Lineage (NCBI taxonomy): Eukaryota > Metazoa > Chordata > Mammalia > Primates > Hominidae > Homo > Homo sapiens. Next base: position 71,902,097 of record NC_000013.11, read on the forward strand.
CTTTAATGTATTTTTATTAGACATACTATGATTGATTCAATAACTTCTCTTTTTATGGACACAATCTCTTATACTTTTGAGTTTACATTATCATTATTAATATTATTAGTTTAGAAAATTTTGAAACTACATTCCGTATGCCTGGGACTTCCATTTCACTCATCTTCTGTGTTGGAAAGCTAACTACTACGCTACCTAGATGCAGCAAGCATTCTGGATATTGATTAGGTTTTTCTAAAAGGATGTACCTATGGGAGATTTGGATGGTGTGTATGAGTGGAGACTGTCATCCTGCCTATTTTGGACATTTCTATTAAAAACAAGTTTGGTGTGATCCTTGAGGTATGAGTTTTGACCTTTGCTATTATGTTAATGTCTGCTGTGGGTACAACTTATAGTCTGGCCTCTCCATTAACTTGCTGAGAGTTTGGTGTCTGCCTTGGCTCCTTTTACTCCACTTGAGCTGCTGCCACTGCTGCTGCTGCTGCTACTGCTCCTGGCTAGAAAAGCTATGATTAGCAACCTCAGTAAACCTCCCTGCAGCCCTACATTAGAGGCCCACTTCAAGCCCACTGATGTCCCCCACCCCTATTAGTTTGCCTCAGGTAAGGTGTGTCTCTCCTGGGTCCATGTGAAAATGGCTAGGCCCCACTTGGCCCACATGTGACCTAAGGGTAGCTCTGGGGAGCAGAGCAGGGTCCCCTGCTTTTCTTAACCATCTTGTATCACCTGGCTTGCTATGATGTCAATTCAGCAGGGTGCTGCAGGCCAGGCTGGCAATGACCTTCCATAGGAATACCAAATGGGAAGTGAGACAAAAGCTTCTCTGCTATTGGAATTTCCCTCAGGTGTTTCTGTGTGTTTCTAAACACACCTTCTCTGTAGAATACTGTTCCTAGAGGATACGGAGGAAAAGGGCTTTTCTCTCTTTATCTGTATTATTTACTCATCTGCTTTATTTATTCTACTTATCTCTCTTTTCTCCTCACAATCTTTTGTGAGGTGGCAACTTTTAGGCTTTTCCTTCCACCTGATCAATGCCTCTCAAATTTTAGTTTGAAACACCTGAGCAAATTGAGGCCTCATGCTCATTTAAAAAAACTGAAATAGGCGAGGCAGTGACTCATGCCTGGAATCCCAGCAATTTGGGAGGCTGAGGCAGGTGGATTGCTTGAGTCCAGGAGTTTATGACCAGCCTGGGTGACACAGTGAGACCTCATCTCTACCAAAAATAAAAATTTAGCCGGGAGTGATGGCGTACACGTGTAGCCCTAGCTACTTGGGAGGCTGAGGTGGGAGGATCAGGATCTTGAGCCCTGGAAACGAAGTTTGCAGTGAGAGCTGTGATTGCACCACTGCACTCCAGCCTGGGCAACAGAGTGAGACCCTGTCACAAAAGAATAATAATAATAAATAGAATAGAAAATATCAGGGCATGTTAATTTTTTAGTAGACTTCATTTTTGAAAGCAGTTTTAGGTTCACAGCAGAATTGAGCGGTATGTACAGTTACCATTTACCCCTCACCATGACCCCCTCCACGACCTCCCCCACAATCAACATCACCCACCGGAGTGGCACATTTGTTACATTTCATGGGCCTATTGACACAACATTATCACCTAACGTCCATAGTTTACTTCAGAGTTCACTTTTGGTGTTACACATTCTATGGGTTTGGACAAATGTATGCCATGTATTCACCGCACGGAAGACTTTACTGCCCTAAAAATTCTTTGTACTCTGCCTATTCATCCCTCTCTCTACCTTCATATCAACTTTTAAATATCATTTCACAGAGTTTTAATTTCTATTTTTAAACATATATTTAGCTATGGTTATATATTCATTTTATACCTGTTTCTGTGTGCTGAGTGATAAGGTAAAATGCATTTCTTCCTGAGGGTTTTGGTCAAAATATGTGAAAGTCACCGTTCTATGTCATAACCAGATTCCCTATAGGATAAGTTTCTGCATTTAGATTATAGCAAGAAGAGGTCTCCTCTCCCTTCTTTGGAAGAAACCACATGATATAATTCCTCTTGGATTCATCCTGATACGTTCATGAGTATTAAAGGATTCCAAAAATTTGTTTTTTTCTGAACAAAATTTGTCTTTTAAAATTATTGTATTGCTGCAAAATCCTGTTATGAGTGTCAGAAACGGAATAGTAACTCTTTATTTTTGCATTCCTGCTATAACAAATCTAAGCTGGCTCCAATCCCCTCCATTCACACCACCGCTTCCATATGTACATGGATGCTTCTGGGAGGAATGCATGAAGGTCAGTACAAGGAAATGCAAACAGAAAAGCATATCACAGCATTTCAAAACCATAACCACACTATGCACCACTCCACAAACTCTGCAAAACCATCCAATAAAAGGATGAATTCTTTTTTGGTAAGAGTTTTTGTTTTACAAACTGGCATATTAATCCTCTCTGAATTTTCTTCCCACAGAGCAAACTTCACAATGGTCTGGACTAGGTTTTTATTGGTGGTATTGGGCTAAATATTTGAGTTTATGGAAGAGACACTTCAGGGTATGCATTTATGCACATGGAGAATTACTCTTTGTGTGATAATAATTGTTATCAACTATTAGAAAAGGGCAAGAGAAAAAAAGATATCAAATGCTGTAGAAAATCTTTACTGATAATTTTTAAATTTTAATCTTAAAATACATTATATTGAGTAATTATAAAATCTCTGGGAATTTTCAAAAGTAGTCTGAATATAAACATTGCTGAAATTATTAAAATTTGACTTTCAACTATTCTGTGCATGTGAATGTAGTTTGTTTTTTATTTCCTATCTCAATCTAAATATTTCCATTCTCTTCTCTGAAAGACTTTAAGTTTTTAAGTTGTGTAACTCTGGACAAATTTTCAAGCCCTCTAAATCTCTGTTTCCTCAACTACAAAATGCCAATAATAGTAACTGTTTTCAAATCTCCAAATACTGCTGGGCAGACATAAAATGCATGGATGCATATGTGTTTAGCACAGAGCAGGTGTTTAGGAGTTGTAGTGGTTATTCTTTTCTTTCTTCCTTTGGAACTTCTGGGCTCAAGTGATCTTCCTGTCCCAGCCTCCCAAGCAGCTAAGACTACAAGAGTGCACCACCATGCCCAGCTACTTTTCCTTAATTTTTTTTTTCTTTTAGATATGGTGTCTCACTATGTTGCCGATACTTGTCTTGAATTCCTGAGCTCAAGTAAACTTCTTGCCTCTGCCTCTCAAAGCACTGGAATTACAGTTTCTTCCTTTCTTCCTCTCCTCCTAAGGCCTCCTCCACCACCTTGGAATAAACCGCCTAGCTTGGCAATGTAACTTCAAATGATAACACTGCTTGTATGAAAAATTTGGTGTGTTCAGAATTCCTTACAACTGAGTTAAAAATAATCTATGAAACACAATCTATTTTACTAGAAATTGGCTGCACATGAATTTAAGGACATCTAAATTTCCAGAGCATTTATCACTCATAAGGAAGCTGGTAGGAAAAATAACTGGAAATGAGATGAGAGCTGTAGTGAGTATTGGGCATGGGAAGGGAGAAGACTTCTCCCCCATAACTGAGCTTGAAATAACAACTTTTTAGGGTCCATTTTACTTCCCCTGCATGTTAAAAATTAATAGGCATCATTTTCAGAGCAGTTTTAGATATAAAGAAATAATTGATAAGAAAGTACAGAGAGCTCTTATCTATCCACCCTCAGTTTCCCTGTCAGTAATATCTTGAATTACTTTGTTATAATTGGTAAAGGCATACTAACACATTAACTAAAGTACATAATTTACATTAGGGTTCCCTTTTTGTGCTGTACAGCTCTATATATTTTAACAAATGCATAATGTCATGTGTTTACCATTACAGTAGGATAAAGAACAGTCTCATTGCCTTAAAAAGTTCCCTAACATTTTAATTGTTCAGACAGCTACTCAGTTCTCTCTCTCTCTCTCTCTCTCTCTCTCTCTCTCTCTCTGATTCTAGATGGGAAATACATGGCAAAGTAAGAGGGAAGAAGGAATTAGGAGCCTATATATTTGTTACTTATTCAGTAAATACTTATTGATCATCTACTATGTTACTGGAATGTTTGCTAAGTGTCATGGATAATACAGTGAATTAAATATACTTGCCTATTGGGTAAGACAAATTAAAAAAAATCACAAATAATTACCCATTGTGGTAAGTACCATGTTGGATGTTGTGAAGAAATATTGCAGGGATTTGTAACATAGATGGACAAGACAGGGAAGAGTCTCTGAAGCAGCGAGAGTGTAGGTGAGCCAGACATTGGCTGGTGCATAGCCAGAAAAGCTCCATGAAGAGTGGCAGGGAAAGATGTTCTTCAAGTGGAAATGTGTGCAAAAGCCCAGAGATGGGAAAGAGCTCATCTCATTTGAGGAAGAAAGGGAACAGGGAACACAGGCAGAGGGTGGGGGTGGTGATTGAGATGATTGAGACTAAAGAGATGTTTGAGTGCATGTCATGCAGGTCTGGTAGTCTGTGATAAGCACAAGAGGTCCCAGAAACATTTTAAGGAAGGAGTGGCAAAATCAGATATTCATGTCTTTGGTGTGGGGAACAGATTGGAAATCAGCCAAAGCGGAAGTGAGAGGAGACTAGAAGACAGATCCAGATGAGGGGGTGACTTGGACTACAGTGGTAGAAGTAAAACATAAAGATAAAGAGAAATGGAGGATCTTGAGGTACATTTTGGATGTTCAAAATATGTATAAGACTCGCCCAAGGTTCTGTGACAATAAGTGAAAAATAGGAAAGAACTTAAATATCCATCACCATGTATGAGATTAAATATATTAAAAGAATTGTGGTAAATCTGTATGTGCTTACATGAGAAGATCTCCAGGATGTGTGAACTGAAGAAAAGAGAATGTCTCAGAATAAATATAGTATTGTCCCACTTATATAACAACAATAACAAAAAAAGAAAACAGAATCAAACTATGTATATCATGTCAATTTTCTGTATTTAGGTTCTGTATCCGTGGATTTGACCAACTGCAGGTCAAAAATATTCAGGAAAAAAATCAGTGAAAAATAATAGTAGGACAATAAAAATTAACACAAATAATAATACAGTACAACAGCTATTTACATAGCATTTATATTGTGTTAGATGTTATAAATCATCTAGAGATAATTTAAAGAATATGGGAGCATCTGCATAGGTTATATGCAAATACTTTGCCATTTTATATGAGGGACCTGAGCATTCTCAAAATTCGGTATCCCCAAGGATCCTGGAACTAACCCCTGGTGGGTACTGAGGGATGACTGTTCATATACACAGGGAAGGATGTATTGGAAAATTCAGTAATCATTATTTTTGGAGAGATAAGTGGAGTAGGATTTTTTATTTGTTCTGTTCTACATAATACCAAGATTGTTTTAGAACCAAAATTTTCAAATAAAAATTATTTTTAGAACAAAAATGCATTTTAAAACTTCTGATGTTGGCCGGGTGCAGTGGCTCATGCTTGTAATCCCAGCACTTTGGGAGGCCGAGGCAGACGGATCATGAGGTCAGGAGATCGAGACCATCCTGGCTAACACAGTGAAACACCGTCTCTACTAAAAATACAAAAAATTAGCCGGGCATGGTGGTGGGTGCCTGTAGTCCCAGCTACTCGGCAGGCTGAGGCAGGAGAATGGTGTGAACCCGGGAGGCGCAGCTTGCAGTGGGCGGAGATCGCGCCACTGCTCTCCAGCCTGGGCGACAGAGCGAGACTCCGTCTCAAAAAAAAAAAAAAAAAAAAAAAAAAGAAACACAACATAATGTGAGATTGGGAGGTGAAAAAGATGACATTTTTCAGTGACCATGAGTATGGATACTTGTGCCTGAAAGGTGTGAGTCTTGGCAGTGAGTAGACATTCTCATGACATATCACCAGCTTCATGGCTGGGTGGTAGCAGTGGTTTTCTGACAAGATGACTGTGGTATGACTTTTAAGCCAATAGTATGGCAGCCTTCACACTTTTTCTCCTCCAATCCCTGTCCTCTTCAATTATTTTATAAGCATCTAATTCCCTATAATTCCCTATATTAAATCCCTTTCTGCTTGGTACACTTAGAATAATTTATTTTTCAGGCACTGAAACGTCTGACTAATACATCCATTTTCTCCATATAGCCTCCTTGAGTTTTCAGATAAATATCATTGGGAGCTACAGGACAATGTAGTCACTTAGAGTCCTTCACATGCCTTCTACGAGATGTCGCCCTCCCCAGATGTCTGCACCATCATGGAGGAGCAATTGTCAAATCACAAAAATTAAATATGCAGGATTATACTTAACAGTGTTGTCTATCCTAATCTAAGGCACAATCTCTATTAAACCATTCTCATTGGTATGAACACTTGATCTAGTTCTCTAATCGCACAAACACACACAACACACACTCTCACACACCATCTTTGCTTCAATGGCTCTGCTACCTGTGCTCCCGTTTCTCTGTTCTGCACTGAAAAATTTACTGAAATATTCGTCTGTACTCATGGTTTCACAGCTCCCCTGGACTGTTCTCTTCAGTTGATACAAGTCTGATTTTATCTTCAGCACCGCAAAACTAGTTTTGTCAAGATCACCAACAACCTCCATGTTGCCAGTCAGACAACATTTATCTGTCCTATCTAATTCAACCTCTTTAAGGGTGGGACATGGTTGACCATTTCTTCCTTTCCGATACAACTGAATTCTGAGACACTGTATCCTCTTGGCTTTCCTCCTCCCTGTCTGGTTACTCTCTTTCAGTCTGATTTGTTGGTTTTTTTGTTTCTGTGGCTTCTTCTACCTGTTTTGAGCCTCAAAGTTCAGTTCCTAGGTCGTCTTCTATTATCTTCTAAGATTTCTTTATCTTTCAGAAATTTGCTATTGTACTATATGAATATAACTTTCAAGTTTATATATTTCATACCCTCTCCCCTGAGCTGCTAAAGATTTGCATATCCAACTGCTGCTTTGATGTTTCCATATAGATGTCAATAAATATTCAAACTGAAAATAAGCCAAAAACAAATTATTTACTACCCCAGTTAAAAACTGCTTCTCTACTTGTCTTTCCACTCCGGTAAACAGCACTATTGTGCACCTACTTGTTCAACTCTCAACCCCCAAATCATCCTTACTCCTCTCTTCCTTCATTTGTCACATCCACTGCTCCAGCAATGTGCCATAGACCTGTTCATTTCTCTCCATCTCATTGTCACTCCTCAGTCCAAGCTACCATCAGCTGTCATCTGGACCAAAAAAATGTTTCTGAGCAATTCTCCCTCATTTCATGTGTTGCTCCTTCCACTACCCAATCTCAGTGCAATAATCAGAACACTCTTTCGAAAACATATTTACCCATTTACTGCCGTAATTAAGACACGTCTATAGTTCCTCTACTACTAAGGCCCAAACTTCCTAACCTCACTTCCACAGCGCAACACAATGTGGGCCTTGCCAACTGTGCCCTCACACAACGCTCTCACTTACTGTATGCTGCACATACTAGCTTGTTTTGTTTTGCTGTTTTGTTTGTTTTTCTAAGATGGAGGCTTGCTCTGTCACCCAGGCTGGAGTGCAGTGGCGCAGTTGCAGCTCACTGCAACCTCCGCCTCCCAGGTTCAAGTAATTCTTCTGCCTCATCCTCCCAAGTAGCTGAGATTACAGGTCCTTGCCACCACACCCCACTAATTTTTGTATTTTCTTTTTAGTAGAGATGGGTTTTCAACCATGTTGGCCAGGCTGGTCTCGAACTCCTGACCTCAAGTGAGCCGCCCGCCTCGGCCTCCCAAATTGCTGGGATTACAGGTGTGAGCCACCGCGCCTGGCTGTTTTTATTTCTTTTAAACCAAGCTTGTCCTTGTCATGTCATTCTCTCTGCTTGGAACACCCTTCCTCATATTCTTCACTTGGCTCCTTCCTTTTCATCTTATAGGTTACAGGCCTACTGTCACCTTCATTCTAGACTGTTCTATCTAAATTAGCAGCTCAGATAAACAATAGTGTTCATTTTCTTTATAGTACTTTTTAAAATCTGAAATTATTTTTATTAGTTAACTTATTTACTGCCTTCTCACTATAAACTAAATGAAAACAGTGATCTTAACGGTCTTTTTCTCCCCCCTCTCCTTTATCCTCAGAACCTAGCACAATATTTGGGACATAAGATGAATTCAAAAAATATTTATTGGAAAAAAATAAATCACATCTTCTGATATCCAGAGCAAACACTTTTTCTCCTCTCATCAAGGCTAACAATAGACGAACCTGGATAACTCAATTGTAATTCATGAATTTTAATTACTTTCATCCTCCTGTTGTGCTTCCACTGTGTATTGGTTTTCTTCAGTAATGGTTATTCTGTTTTCAATATTAAATTTAAAGTATCTCTTATGTTAATTTTAAAAAGAAGTGTAATTTCATCCTTCTCATAGCTATTGTTAATCTGTTTATCTTGTTGTTGTTGGCAACATTTTCTTAAATCCTTTTCTGTTATGGAATTCTAATTTCAGAATTATTTTCTTACTTGTGAAATATTCTCTAGTAGAGAAAATCATAAGTTAGGGAACTTGATTTTAAATTCTAACTGGGTGATTTTGGGATAAACAACATAAGCTTGGGATGCATTTTCTTCATCTGTTGAATGCAAAGTCGAATTAGAAGATTCCCAAGGTCCCTTTTAGCCAAATTGTAGTAAGAAGTTAAGACAAAGCAGAAAATAAGAAATCTGCATGACAAATAAGGGCTAAAACTGAGTAGACATCAAAAAGTTAATGAAATGTAAACATCAAGCAGGAAATTTTAGTCATAGTCTTACTACTTCTAAGTCATCTAATAATATATTTTATCATCCTGGATTACATTGTAGTTTAGAATATTGCAATACTCAAATGCTAAGGTAAGTCACCACCATCAATCCCAAGAGTAATAGCATTGCATAGCAGCTTTCATCTTAGGCCCCTAAATCACTGTGTAAACATCAATTAAATCTCAACACTTCCCTATGCTAGTATTATTGTGCCCACTTAACAGATGGAGAACTGAGCTATATTCTTGTTTAAGCCATAAACCAAAGCTTTCTCATTTAAAATCACTAGACATCTTTAAATTAATAGTTAATATGCTATCAGAGACCTGAGGTTGAATTCAATGAATGAGAATTTCTATATGTGGTATCGTCCTGCCTGTAGGTTTATGGAGTTGTGTGTGGTGTCTGTAAATGTGGGTGTGTGTATATGTAAAGTATGGGTGGGTATGACTGTAAGTGTGTATAGTCTGTGGGAAAAACTAGTGCATATGAGTGTGTGACTGAATGAATATAAAGTGTTGTACTGTAGACGCTCAAGTTTCCTTTTTTGTAATTTATTTTTAAACATTTCTTAGCTGCATTTAACACTTCTGGTATTCCCTTCACCGTCTTTCACGTTCTTTTCTGGCTTATCTCCCATTCCACAATTTCTTCTTTCTCTGTTGGTCTATGCTCAGACTTCTGCTTTCCAACTTTTATGTTCACCCCACATATTCCCTCTGGTGCTCTGTGTTCTTTCCTATGGTTTCATTGACTCTCTGTATGCTGATATTACCTAAATCTATTCCTACAGCTTAAGTGTCTTTCCTATGTGTCTCCACTGACTCATAGACACCTCTCTACTTAGATGTCCCACCACTGTCTTAAACTCAGCATACCTGAGAATACACGGATCAACTCACTTACCTCCTCTCCTCTGCAACCTGAACCTTCTTCTAACCCTTCTAAGTAATAATAGATTACCAACTCAAGTGTCCAAGACAGAAATCCAGGACTTCCTCATTCTCCAGTTCCCTCACTTCCACACACTTAGCAAGTTCTGCTTGCAAAGTAAGATTCAATTTCCAATTTCTTCAAGCTCTTTTTTCCTCCTAAAACTCCTGTCATAGCCTTGGGTGAGACCACCATTACATGCTGCCTAGATCATGACACAGGCTTTCTAATAAATTATCTACTCTGATGTCACAGTGAGTTTCTTAAGGCAATAACCTGATCATGTCTCTACTGTGTAAAACCTTTCAATGGTCCCTACTACTATGAGAGTCAAGTCTAATCTTTATATGATTTTCAAGATCTTGCATGATCTGACTTCTGCACACCATAATCATCGCTTGTTTCTCTTCTCAAATTCTACCAACTGTAACCATATGTCCGTGTGTGTGTGTGTTTGTGTGTGTGTGTGCACGCCTCCGATTCCTTAAACTTGCATGTTTTCTTTTACTCTGTTCTACATCTTCCCCACCTCTTTGCTTGGTTAATTCCTACTTCTCCTTCAGGTCTCAGCTCAAAATCACTTCCCCCAGGAAAGCCTCCCTTGTTTTTCAAGGTAGCCATCTATGTGTTCTTAGAGCTCATTAGGTATTACTTATCACACAGCATCATGATTAACTTTGTACTATTAATTTTTTTAGATTCTAAATTTGGAGAAGGCAGAAATAGTGTCTATTTTTGGAAGACTATATCCTCAGTGCTGTTTCTGTTTCAGACACAGAATAGAATGCTTTGTAAATATTTATGGAATAGTTGACTCACTGAATGAGTGACCACACTGAGCTTATATAAGTATGTCAATGTGGTCACTGTTTTAGGTGAAGCTTGTGGGAATAAGGAAGATCTAAGAAAAATGGGCCAGACCCATGTTGTTCTAAATAAACCATGTTGCTCTAAATAATCCAGAAGCAGTAGGTCACTCAGTATAAACAGTGTATTTTAGTAGAAAATATTTATTATGTCCTTAAATTTCCTGTTGCATGCCAGGTGTGACTGCCAAGTAAGGAGGCTGATTTCATGTGTGGCTTATGAAAATGATCTTCTTGGATTGTAGCCCTGTTTGTCAGTGCAGCCAGGCATGGGAGGGCCTTGCCTTGATCCCACGTACCTCTCCACTCAAAGAGAGAAATGCTTGGTACTGTGGGAACATCTGCAAGTGCATGCCTATAAATTCTTACTCAAAAAACCCAAGTCATCTTTTACGAAGCTGGAAAATGCCTATTCCTGGAATGCCTCATTGAGGACTGAATAGGTCACTTAAGGTCTGAAAGGTTATGACAGGGCACATGTTTGAGGGAGGTGAGGACTGAGTATGGATGTGAGGGCTGGGGCTTCCAAGTTCATGCCGAGGCAATTCATGACCCTGGCCCAGGTGGGAAAAGAAGAGCAGGCAAAGAGGGAAAGATGCCCTGGGGATGGCAATCAGCTATGACCCTCTAAGGGAACTGAGGATTCTATTACTGTATATTTGTATTGGATCATCCAGGTTACTATGCAGGATATTTGTCAAGATAGGAAGATAGATTTTACTTAATGGTTTGTCAGCTTGCTTTACAGCCTTTAACTATTTAAACCTGTATCATATACCCCTCTAATTATACACATGTCCCCACATGTCTTAGGGGGCTGTCCTGCTAGTCAAAAACAGTTATTTTTAAGAATATTTTTGCTTTTTCTGTAGAATAGTGTTAAAAGGTCCTTAATTTTTTTCTTTCTTTCTTTTTTTTTTTTTTTTTAAGTTTTTCTGGTTACATGTTATTCAACACAAATAATCTCCTCCAACTTTACTGAGGTGGCTGATCATGTCCAAGATCAAATCTGGAATTCAGGTGCTGACCCATGCCCAGTCTTGGCTTTCTTGTTGGCATCAGGGGGACACCACTCCATCTGTAGGTGTCTCTGTCAGCTTCCCTTCTTGTGAGTCTCGCCACTGGCCCTCCAGACCTTTAGACCAAGGCCTGCCAATCTCAGGACAACTGTGACGCAGTGGGGCAGCATTACCTCAGGGGGCAGTTAATTACAGAGAAACTAGATACTCTTGTTGGTAAGGTGCCTGTAGAAATGTCTCCAGGAAAACTGTTTCTTCATGCAGCCTTGACACCTGAGAGACTGGATGGCCTTCAAGACATGTAGCTTGGGCACATGTTTGTCTGCCAGTTCTGGGTGCTTAGGTATAAAGACATCGCTCTTGGCCACCATCACTCCCTCCTTCAACAGGAGTTCATAAATGGCAACCCAGTTCTTTTTGGATGTCAACATCTTGGGCGCTGCAGTGTCTGGGGCAGAGACAGGAAAGGCAATGTCCCCTAATTTCTTTATGTCAGTAATATTTTATACCAACAGTAAAATAGATTTCAATTACACCTCAAGGCAAATCATGGTTTTAATCATAACACGGAAAAACAATATTGCAGAGGTTGTATCTGTCTCTTGACTTAATGGTAATGGAAGTACTTCAGTAAAGTCCGTGATGCTGATTTTAATGGTAGGGAAGAGACTTCAGATAATTTGAAGCATGTCTAGTTTTGTTTTTCACTCCTCTTTTTATTGCATTGCCATATTTCAGCAGATTCTCATCATTTCAGAACACTCGATTTGGAAAATGACAGTTATTATTATTATGTGATTTAGTTTTATTTTGGTGCAAGCATGTTATTTATTAGACCACAAACATTTTTGGAATTTATTGGGCACTCAACAATGACTTTACGAATATCAACTCATTTAGGTGTTATGGCACTTTCAGATAGGTATTATTAATATTCCCATTCTAAAGATGAGAAAACATGGGCAAAAAGAAATTAAGCAACTTGATCAAAATCACTACCATAATTCTTATAAGTAGCAGAGCAAGGACTCCAACCCTAGCAATCTAATTCTACCTATGTTGCAACTAAGCATTGCTCTTTTGCCTACAAGAGTGTTTACTTCTTGAAGATATGGATCATGAGATTTTATTTTAAAATTAAGAATGCAAAAATATAATTTTGACAATTAACAGTCATTAAAGGAGCAATCACTCACTTGAAGGCTTAAAGGAGCTTGATTTTGCATTATATTATTTAGATTTTTGAAAAGTCTAATATTTTATCTTCAAACTTGCATGAGTGTTACACTTTATACGTAAGAGGCAATATATTTTGGTCAAGAAAGAGTACATGCTACCATATTGCCTTAATTTTTTAGGAAAACCAGATGAATTACATTTTAAACAATTAATAACAATATAGCCATATGTAAAGGTTTTCTTTTTCAACTTGCCTATTATCAGATAGACATGGGTTGTTTTTTTTTTAGATATTTACAAATAGCAGTAGTCACTCATTCAGGCAACTGAAGCTCCTATCTGGAATGTAAATGAATTAATGGATTTCAATGCTGTTGAGAAAATAAATATATTTGGCTGAAAGAAACAAATCTGACTGGGGCAAGTAATACTGACATGTTTTATTCTACAACGGGTGTGCATGTTTCTGTTAGAAATTGGAATGGCTCAGGTTCACCCTTAACAAGACAATTACATGTTCTGTGAAGGGAATTCCATGACTTCCATTTTAGCTGTCTATGTAGCAAGTACTTCACATTCATATAAAGGTTTAAAATGCATGCTATAAAACTTTTGAATATAATTGATTCTAAAGGAATAATCTGTATGTAAGGATATCCAACAGGCATTCACCTATTTGGTTACATAAAACAATCCATTTCACATTATATGACCTCACTTTGCAACTCAATAGCGAAAGAAAATATGTAATGAATTTTCAATACAATATAAATGGTATTTCATAATCTGTAGAGTAAGAACTGTTCTTGAATGTTAAGATGGTTTCCACATTTTCTCCCAGTATAAACACATAAGAATATTATTTGGCCTAGATCAGTTCCTTTTATATAAATTAGACTAGAAAATTGCATCAGCTTTATTTAGAAATATCCACAAGAGAGATACTCTGATTATTGAGGTCATTGCTGTGACTACAGTAGTGACTTGAAACCCAGTCTCATGGTTAGGAACTTTATTATGGAAAGTAATTAAACTTAGCCAAAATTAGGAGAATTAAAATCAATACCTAAAAGATAAAAAAAACCACAAAGCTTATTTTCATGAAAAATAATCTTTCATCAATATAAATATTAGAGTTACAATACTTTCTCCATAAAAAGGAGGATTAATTTTTTTCCAGTGTCTAAGGAAGCATATGCTTACCCCTGCTTGCTAAGGACAGAACAGAGCTCATTTAAATACAGGTGGTTACCTGTTACACACCCCCCCACACAAACACACCCCTCCCTATGTGTATAGGAATTTTCTGAGCACTTTACTATTTTCAGTTTTAATTAGGATGTGAAGAGAGGGGACATTTTAAAACAATGGATTCCTGTAAAGTAAATTGGGATTTCAGTAAAGTAAAACTCTCTCTCTCTCTCTATATATATATATTTATATATATAAATACTTCATAGATATATTATACATATATATCATATATACTTCATAGATATACATATATATCAATATAGTTCATAGATATATTATACATATATCATACTGCATATCTATATTATACACATATATATCACACATATATACTATCTTCAAGTGTCATATATATATATATATATATATATATATATATATATAAAATCTGTGGCATAACATTGGGTTTCCATCTTTTAATTTTCCCCTCTAAAGCCACAAAAAGTAAAACAGAACACAAACCTATTCTATTACACCATCACCACCATTTCATATGTGGTCAAAGGACATTGAACGTTAGTCAAGAAGGACATAATCCAAGAATACTGGTTAGCTCTTTTTTTTTTTTTTTTTTTGAGATGGAGTCTTGCTCCATCACCAGGCTGGAGTGCAGTGGTGCGATCTAGGCTCACTGCAATCTCCGCTTCCCAGGTTCAAGCAATTCTCCTGCCTCAGCCTCCCGAGTAGCTGGGATTACAGGCACGTGCCACCACTCCCAGATAATTTTTCTATTTTTAGTAGAGACGGGGTTTCACCATGTTGGTCAGGCTAGTCTCGATCTTGTGACCTCGTGATCCACCCGCCTCGGACTCCCAAAGTGCTGGGATTACAGGCATGAGCCACTGTGCCCGGCCTTGGTTAGCTCTTAATTTTAAAAAAAAAACTGAAAACTTTACACAATTTTCTATTAGAAAAGGCAAAAAATTTGGTGCACCATTCTAGTTTCATGAATTGGAAAATAGTATTTTAATTTCCTTATCCTAAAGCAAAAATGTCTTTTTCTGCCACCGCTCTTGTATTCATTTATTTACTCCTTCGATTTACAAATAGCTATTGAACTTCTATTATGTGCCAGGCCCTTATGTACATTCCAGAAATCCACAATGGACAGGAAAGATAAAAGTTCTGTCTTCCTGGAGCTTATTTTAGCGTGATATATTGGAAAATCATGTTGTTTCTACCACCATTATGTATATTTTCAGTATGAGTACTGTTCCTTTTCTGCTGCCACCACCATTACCTCCTGTCTGGTTTACTGTAAAGTTCTCTTAACTTGTCTCTAGGAGTCTATTTTGCCCCCACAATCTAATCCAAGTCTATTAGTCTCCAAGTAGCCAGAAAGATTTGTTTAAAAGATGAAACAGACCGTATACCTCTCATGCTTAAAACCCTTGATGGCTTCTCATTTTCTACAGCCTTTCCATCCTGCTGTGACATCAAAGGCAGTGTGTTCTGGCCTTTCCTGCCTCTTCCAATAGCTCGCTCTCTAAAATTTAACCACATTGCTGTCTTTCTGTTATTCTTGTATTCCACACTTACTCCTCTTTCAGGGTCTTATCAGACCCTCCCCTGCTTTTCTTGGTCTGTAGGAAACAAAAATGTTTCTACTAAAACATTGCAGGAAATGAGTTATCTCACATAAAAAGAAATAGAAGTGGTAGTTTCTAGGGTGATTACTGCAGTATCTCCTTAGGGGTATTCTTGGAATTACATTTTGGTGGGAAGAGAAAGACAAGAAATGAATAAAATTTCTATTGTGTGCAAAATGGTAGAGCTCTTGTAGAGGAAAATGAATCAAGACAGAGTCAGAATGAAGGGATATGTTTGGTTTAAAATAGTGACATAGTAATTGCTCAATAAATGTTAATGTTATTATTATTCATTATTGTGGTTTTTGTTACTGTTATCAAAATGGAACAAAATCGAAAAAGGTCAGAGGTTCATATTTCATGTATTTTAAGCAGTGTCAATTTTCTAAGTATTATGAAAAGTTGGGAATGAAAAAGAGACTACATTGGTGGAAGGCAAACAGTCTCTCCCACACATTCCACCTCTTTATGTCAACAATGTCAAGAAGTTGCCAAGCTAATGATTCCACATTCAACCATCCCAGCCACATTTCTTATTCTTCTCATTTTATTTTCTATACACTAATAGTTGCCATCATGGAATGATATTCTAAAGTTAAGAAAATGTTAAAATATGGAAATAAATTAACAAAAACAAAGACAGATTGTAGTTGGTCCTAAAGGAATTGACTTTTTGACAAGTAAAACTTCATTAACAGAAAGTGTGTCTCAGTATGAACTAGTTTACAAAATATAGAATAAATATTAAGATGAGATACATAACTTTTACAGAAAGACAGACCTCGGAATTTATTTTAAAATGTTTTAAAACATTGAAAAATGTTTCCATTGACTAATAATTATGTTTGCCCATAACTTTTCAAGAACATATCAATTGTATAAAATATAATCCAATGTAAACTTTTAAACAATTTTTCATTTCATGAGATTGCTTTTGACTGGTAAAGTCAGTGCACATGCAGTTGTGTGTGGTATTACACAATATACATCAACTGTCACTGTCTTTTCAAGTACTGAAGCAGCACGGCCAGTTTTTGCAGGCATTAAACCAAAGATTTTGACTTCTCAAAACGATCTTTTTCCCCCTTTGAACTCTCCATAACCCTACTCAAACCCACGAACACAAACTTTATAGTTTTCTCACATTCATTTAACACAGGTCATGCGTCCTGATAGACACCTAATTCATTCAGTAAACATCGAGAAATATTAACACTATTTTACCATGCATTTGCAGTGCTTTTGTGTCTGTTATATTTTTCTAACTTTTTTAAAATTTCAAAGCCTTGGAATTATTCAATGGCAATGACACTCTCTTTTTCTTTATAAATATCCTGTCTAGAAATAATATTAAAACTCTAATATGATTTGATCATTTAAAAGTATAAGTTAAAATGTGAGATTTCTTGTGTTCTTATGCTTCCATTTTGCTTTTGAATAGTAAAACTTCTCTTTCCTATTCTTACTACTTTTAAAAATGTGGCTCCCTCAAAAATATCACTGCAAAAGGGTTTAAAGTAAGCAGTACCAATGAAAAGTATAGAAAGCCCTATTCACTTAGTCTTGAACATACTTTCTAGTCTGTATACTGTTGGATATTTTCCTTCTGATAATGTGTTTTACTCCTGTCTTCCTTTTCTGCAATGTTGCATTCAAATAATTTTTAAATTATTTGCATAGCTCCATTTAAAATTTCTTCTGTTCTTATAGATTACTGCTTTCACTTCCTGTCTCAACTTTCATTTTAATGCCACATTTTAAGTTCTGGTTGGCTTGTTTACAAACAATAATAGGAAAGAGAGATATTTTAGATTATGGTTTTTCTTATGAGGATAGCTGTGGATCATTGCACGTTGGATTTAAAATGAAAATTGTATTTGGAGTTGTTTGACTTGCAGAAATAACAAGCCTAAGTGTTTCAGTTTCTAATGGTAATTAGTTTTCAACCCAGACAGTCTGGATAACTATATATTTAATACCTTGTAAAGAACTATCATAACAAGCCCTTAAGCATTATTTGAAAATTAATAAACTAAAGTAGGAGGAAACCCTTTACTTTCCCATAGCAACATGGACGGAGTTATATTATTTTATTGTGAAATTTCATTTTTCAATTATAGGTTTACTAAATTAACAGGCTTGAAAAGCATAAAAAACAATTATTAGTTCCTTAACACTGCAGATGACTAATGAGTCCGTTTACGGTAAAAACAAACAAAAAAAAAGGTTTCTTTTTTTAAAGGAAAATTATTTCCTTGAATTGCCTGAGAATAAATTCTGATTCACAAATAAATGTTTCTATTGTACTAATAGAATGTATCGTACATTTAGGTGTGATTTTTCTAAATTATGTGAAAGTAAATCATGTACAAGGATTTTACTCTTAACCTATTTTTTAAATTTATATGTTTATTTTCTAAAAATGAAGCTTGGAAATAGAGCAATTTAATTGTTAAAACTTGCAAATAAAAGATTCAGTAATCTGGATTTGAACTAAATAACAAATGCTATTGATGATTACGTTAGATTCCATAGTTAAAATTGTGTATAAATTGGGTTAATTGCTTAGAAGAGAGTGTGGAAGACAAAAACTACTTAACCTAATTCTTGCCATCACAGTGTGAGGGTGGAGAGCCAATGTTAATACACCCTGGAAGAGAGGAGCCATGTAGCTCCTTTATTCACAGACTCAGGACTGTGGCTGTGCTCTTCCAAAATATATACTTTTTTAAGATCTGGTGTCTGACTCCATGTGAAATGGTGTGTGTGTGTGTGTGTGTGTGTGTGTTAGAGCCTGGAGAAAGAGCAAAATCAAACTCTATAGAGACTTGGGGAGACTGAAGTACAGAAAAATTTACTTTTTCTTTAATTCTTACTCCCACCACCATAACTTTAAGCCAACATATTGATTCTGTTGTACTTCATGGCATAGTGATTAAGAGCAAGGGCTTTGCCCACAAATTGGCAACATTTACCAGCTGTGTGATACTTGTCAAGTTCTTTAACTTATCTTTGACACAGTTTCCTCATCTACAAAATTAAGATAATCTCCCAGGATTGTTGCAAGAATTAAACAAGTTATTAGGCATGAGTTTCTAAACAAGGTCTACCACATATAAGTCAGGATAGCAGGGCTTATGCAAAAGACAATAGTTTTAATTTCAAAATTCTCATTCCATCAAATTCTGTTTAAAAGTCCTCTTTAAAGGACTTTTAAAATGCTTAGTTTCCTAAATCCTTTAATCATTAATTTAGTGTTGGTAAATGGAAGTGGACATTAAGTTAAGGATAAGGGTTGAAGAAAAGGGAAAGAAACAGGAACTAAGAATATGAATTGTCGAGTAGAAAATCTCTGTTAAATGTAGTACTTTTAATTTGCAAACACTATCCCTGGGTTGCTATGAGTTGCTAAATATCAATTGAGAAATGAGATACTCAAGTGTATGTTCCCACTTTAAAAGGAAAAGCTTCTAAGGGAATGGAAAGAGAGTAATCAATCAGTCAATCAATCAATTAAAAACACATTACTTAGAATCATAAAGAGTTAGTTTGATCCTCAGTGAAAGACACACAGTGAAGACTAAACTCACCATTTCAGAAAAACCAAGAATTCTATGAGCGCCTGCATAATCCTAGTTATCCTCCACACTATCAACATAATAGGTATTCAATTAGTGTCTGTTAGGTGAATGAGATGAATGAACAAATAGTCCCATGGCAGTCAGAACTGGGAACAGAGGTTAAAAAAACTAGTGGCCAGAAAAACTAAATTTGATCCCTAGGTGCATTTTGTTTGGCATTCCTAGTGATTAAAATAGAATTAGTTAGAAATACTTAAAATGCAGGGGATTTTCACATAAAAATATAGATTTCTGGATTATTTTGAAAAATGAGCAGCTCTGATATCAGTAGGCGTTTTTTCCTGCCTGGCTACAAATTCCTAAAGCTGGATAGTAGCTGCTCCCTTAAGATGACCAGAATGTGGCAATACCACCCCAACTGCTTAAGTCATTTATACCGCCTGTTAGGTCTCTCTTAGCCTGAGTTTATACATCTCTGATCCAGAATTGCAAAGCTTTCTGCTGAACTTTGATTCTCTTACAAGATTTTCTCATAGCTTAAAAGAAGTGCATACAACCCTACAATCATTCAAGATTTCATTTTTCTTCAATAAAAGGTTGGGGGCCTTTGAGTTACTTCCAGGCTTGCTCATCCTAGGTATGACTGCCATTTTGGGTCAGAAAATGTTTGCTGTGGGAGGCTGTCATGGGCATTGTAGGATGTATGGCAGCCTCTCTGGCTTTATTCACTAGCTCCTCTCTCACCCGGTGCACTAGCCAAAAACGTTTCCAGGCACTGCTAAATGTAATCTCCCCCGCGTTGAGGACCACTAAGTTAGACCTCAGACTAGAAGAGTGCAGATAGATAAACTCAAAAGTGGTGCTGGTTTATATTAGACTAACTTGCAGCCTGGGAATTGGCTACAACTTTGGCACTGTGCCCAGGTTCTAGATTTAGTTGCTGAAGACTGACCACTGACTTAACTGTATTTATTCAAATATAAGCTATTTAAACTTGAGTGTGATGATGATAATACGATCATTTCCTTCAACCATTGGTTTTGGATGGAGCCTAGAAGGGCAAGGAGGTGTAGTTAACAAAGTGATGTAATAAGCTGCAACAATCTGCACATAGTAGCATCTGGATAGCATTCACAGGCTAGCAGTTCATTGTGTTTCCTACTCACATGTTGTTCCTGATGAATTATTTTTAAAGTATGACTAAATTATTCATTATACAAGATCACAATTATTTATGCAACTGAGGTTTACCACTAACATTCCAATATGGATTGTTTTAACTATGGGACTTCTATAAAGCTTCTAAGAAATAGAAATATATGCCTAGAATTAAGTAATTTATATGGGACACACCATAATGGTAGAGGAATAATACAGTGGTTGAACCTTTAAATCTTAAGGGAATCATTAATAACAAATCTGATAAAACATTATTTACAATAATTACATATGCAGTCAAATTTTATGTACACATCTCATTTTGAATATCTCAAAACAGTCAAACCGATTAAGCTGCCAGACCTAAACAAATTTCTCCCACAGGTTATCTGCCTCATGTATTTCATTAAATAAAAATTAGGTAATACTATATAACAATAATAGTATAAAAATATAAAATTATGTATGATTTAAATTTTATTTTCACAGCATCAGAAAAATAAAAACTGTAACAAAAACCTTGAGGTAGTTAATCTATCTTTATTTTTCTTAGGCATCTCTGCCCCTTCACTCTGTTGATGAAGGTATATTCCCTATAGCCTGTGCTCTGATGCCTTGCCCAATGTCAGTTTAAATGACTCAAGTAATAACTTCAAGTACAGTCCAATTCTTCCTTTGGGAAGCTATTCCATTGACTAATATTAAGTGGGATACTATTGGTATGTTAATTAACTGCTTCACTCAGCACAGACTATTTATGTATCATGTACCCTTCACCCATGAATTGACACATAAGAAAAAGCCAAAGATGAAATTTAGGGATTTTTCACATTCCACATCCTGGGTTTTGGTGACTACTTTAAAATCTATGCTTTTTCCCTACCGAGCTACATTTGTTTTAGCACTGAAAGCTAAGCGTAACTTTCACCATTTTGATATAGAGTTTGTCAAGTAAAAACAACCAAAAAAAAAAAAAAAAAAAACTTCCCTCTAAATACACACATTAATAATGGGACCAGTGTTCTCGCTGGTAGGCTAACAGTACACTAATAAAGATAAATTCATTTATTCGTGTTAATCTATTTTTTCCCTTAGATTTGGAAAACAAAGTAATCAACATAGAAGCTGTAGGAGGGATAAGAAATTTGGTCAGAAATTGTTAAGAAGGTCATTTTTGAAAGTAATTGTTTCTTTTTCTCAAGCATATTAACATCCAAATCTCAAGACTCTGGAAGTTCTTCACTTTGAGGGTAAGCAGAAATGTGTTTAATATTTAAAGCTAAACTCAACTCTAATCAACAACCTCAACACATCGTTAGGCCTTCACATAATTCAACTTTTGCAGTAGTTTCTACAAAAACCAGAGTAGAAAACCCAGAGTATTAAGGACATAGGTCTTTTTTACACCACTGTAGGAACAAACATTCTTTCAGGCTTCTTTGAGCAAGTTTTCTCTTAGCTGGAAAGCAATTCCAAATTATGGTGAGCACTGCTATGAAAATGAATTATGGAACCACTCACACAATCTCAAATTTTTTTGCCTACAAATATGAAATAACTCAGCATATAAAATGCATGTTCAAAAGTATTTTTCTATTAAATTGAAAGCATTATGTTTATTGACACAAAGTCATTCTGCTGTGTTGTAATATAGTTTTTGGGTTTTGTTTTAAACAAAGCACTGAAGAAGGAGTTCACTTTCTCCGGCCCATGAAAATTACCGTAGAAAAACCAACTAAAGTATATCGCTAAAGGACCTGCTTACCAAATCTGCCCTTTCAATGCTATGCACATGCTCTCAGATGCCTAAAATTATTCAGCCAACCACTGCACTAGACTAAAGAAGGCTAAGCTATGTGATACCAATAGTGTCTGCTTAATCCAGCCTTGAATTAAGAGAGAAGATACGGAGGATACTAGACCTACAAGTAATCAGGCTTCTGAAGATGCAAAGAGACAATCCAGCAAATGGACTACCCATTGAGCAGCAGGGGTCTAAATCTGGACTGTGGAAAGAAGATTATAAAGGAGAGAAAGTCACTGGGGGGTCTCATGCCCAGTGGGTTTTAGCACATGATGGCTCTTTTAAAATGTATCTCATTGGCTGGCTGCCATGGCTGGTACTTGTAATCTCAGCACTTTGGGAGGCCGAGGTGGGGGGATCACTTTAGTCCAGGAGTTTGAGACCAGTCTGGGCAACATGGTGAAACCCTATCTCTACAAAAAGTAAAAAAAAAAATTAACCAGGCATGGTGGCGTGGCACATGTCTATAGTCTCAGCTACTCGGGAGGCTGAGGTGGGAGGATCATTTGAGCCCAGGAGGTCAAGGCTGCAGTGAGCCATAATCTTGCTACTGCATTCTAGCCTGGACAACAGAGTGAGACTCTGTCAAAAAAAAGAAAAAAGAAAAAGAAAAAAGTTACCTCCGTAGCTAGTTTCACATTAAATACCTGAAGACAATTGACCAATCAGTCTCACATCTCAGTTCCAACAACTTTAAGTTTGACTTTGACTAAGATAAATTTAAGTAGCATTTTCTATTAGAGAAACAGCACAACACAAATGCAGTTTCTGAAGGAAAGGCCAGAGATATGTCAGCCCACTTCATTATGAACCAAGCCTGGGAAGGAAAATGATGTGTGAGCTAACGAACTCCCAAATAATTACACTGGACATTTTTATGCTGCCACCAGACCTTTTGTAAGGCTATATAAACTGATCTTAATTTTGTTATACTGACCCCTAAAGGCACTTCCCATTGTAAAATAGTCTATTAAGAATTGGTCTATATTTGGGAAAGCAATAATATTAAGTTCATTATGGCTTTTTGCAGTCCAGGCACTAATGTAGCTTGTGTAATCCTCTTAAGGTTTTAATGGGTTAAAGCTATTTTAAGAATTTTTGCAATCAAACTATATAGGTATGCTTAGAAAGGTACTTGTCTTCCAGGCCCTTTAAAATATATATAAGATAATTATGTTAAATTGATTCATGTTAAAAATGTAACACACCCAGTCAAAAAGCCTTAATAAGACAGACTTCTGAATAAGGTAGTATTATTACCCAATCTCAGCTAAAGAAACTTGATTTTAAGAGCCACACATGGCCGATCTGTTGCAAGTATGTAACAGTATATAATTATCATTAAACCAAGTTACTTTCATTGTGGAAAATATAAGTGAAAACAGATAAACAAACAAAACAAACAATTAAAATCTTATTCTCCTCATAATGGAATCCTGCTGAATGCATATTTTTGAGCACACTTTTAAAAAGTAACAATATATCCTGTCAATAAGTACAATAAATAATAATTTACAAGCAGCATAGTGTTCTGTTGCATTGTCATAGTTTGCTTAAACCATCTGCTGTTTCTGAACATTTCTATAAATTCTCCCGCCTTTTTTTTTTTTTTTTTTTGCTATGATGATGTTTCAATGAACATTCTTGCATCTTTTCACAGAAAGGCATTTTATTGTGGTGGGATATTAAGAGTACAGCCCCTAGTAACAAACTGCCTGCAAGTCACAAGCTTCAGGAGCCTCTTAAATTATACATATAATTAAATTTTTTCTGATTTAAAAGTGGAAACATATCTTATTTAAAAAAATCTGCATTCACTACTAAAAGATGATTTTTCCCCACGTGGTTATTGTTAATGTTCTTCTGCAAATTGCCAGTTTAAATCCTAGGCTTATGTTTTATTGAACTCGTCTTGTTTCTTACTCATTTATTTTACCTCTATATAGATCAAGGAATATATAAAGAATACATTGAAAGGCAAAGATTTTTGCCTTTTTTATACTTTGCTATATATCCCTAGTACCAACAGAAACAGTGCTTGGCATTTATCAAGTATTTACCGAAAACCCCAAAACCTTTATTGAATGAATTAATAAATCTGAAAACAAAATTCTATAAACTGAATAACAGCAAAAATATCTTCTAGATGGTTCTGACACATGAATATTCATGTACTTTATAGTATTATCGATTGTATTTCCTGCCCCATTTCTATTCAAGTTGTACTCATTATCAGTCAATAGGCTGCAAGTTTTAGGTTTCCTTGGTACAATTGAGGTGGTTTATTGTTGTTGGTGTTACGTTCAACGTAGATGACTAATGTGGTAAAGGAAAGTAAATCTTAGAAAGTAACTAAATCTTAACTAAATCAAAGATAAAGGGGACACGAACATTAGTCATTTTTAAATTTAAAACCAACTACATTCAGAAAGAACACTAGGCTAGGTTTTGTTTAGGAAACGGTCTAAGTAATGAATTTACAGATATGCATTTCCTTCTTTAAGTGACTAAAAACCTGAGTAGGGATAATAAAATGTGTCCACTTATTCAAAGGAAAGATTTATAAAGAAACTTGCAGTCAATATAGAATACACATACTACAAATATTTAAAAATATATTAAGGCCAGGTGTGGTGGCTCACGCCTGTAATCCCAGCACTTTGGGAGACCAAGACAGGTGGATCACCTGAGGCCAGGAGTTCGAGACCAGCCTGCCCAGACAACATGGTGAAACCCCGTCTCTACTAAAAATACAAAAATTAGCAGTGTGTAGTGGCACATGCCTGTAATCCCAGCTACTCGGGAGGCTGAGGCAGGAGAATCACTTGAATCCGAGAGTGGGAGGTTGCGATGAGCCAAGATCACGCCATTGTACTCCAGCCTGGGCAACAAGAGTGAAACTACTTCTAAAAAATAAATAAATAAATAAATAATAAAATAAAAAATAATAAAAATAAAAATACATTATATTATTCAGCGTTTTGGTAACCCAGACAAAGGAAAAGCCTTGAAGACAAACAGTGAGTCAATTCAGAGAGCATCAGCCATAGAAAGCTGGGAGAACCAGAGGCCAGGACTGTCCAGTGTGAACAGAAAGCACAGAGGTCAGGCTCATGGAGTTGATTCCACAGTAGAGATATGACCCCCTGCTGCTGCCAGAGATGCCACAGGATGGAGAAAGATGAGGAGGGACACCCTACATTCTCCCCTCAGCTCACCTTCCAATCTTCCACTAATGTCTCCCATTGGCTTGACTTCGAAATCAGAGGTCAAGGGAATCTGACAAATATTTCCGGAAATACAGAGAAAAGCAGAAAGCGGGTAGGAAAGAATCTGAGAGTAAACTCACAGTTGATGGATGCAGATCCTTAGTCATCAGTGAGCAGAGCCCAGAGGTGATCTGGAAAAGACTTCTTTGAAGCATTAGCAGATAAGAGATTCCCATCCAGTATAAAGGTGGGAGAAAAGCTATCCAGGAAGGGTAACGAGGTACAAAGGTGGAAACAAGCAAGTCAGAGGTAGGGACTGATAAGTAGGTTAGCTTCCTATGAGTAGAAATGCTGTGCAGCAGAGAATGGAAGAGAAGTTTAATGAGAACCAGTGGCAAAATGGCAGTGAAGATGATTCAGTTACCAAGTCTTTTAGCCAATTTGTTCTCATATATGCTTACTGCCTACTATCAGATAACTATTAGTTCAGAAAACAAAGGAAAAAATTATTTTTCAGATGTTTAATTCTTTAACCATAAGTAACCTAAAAATTGATATCCTTTAGATTTATCAATTCCTCAGCCCGTATCATAGACTATATTATCCTAATATAATAAATATGAGTCTCCAAATGCAGAATATTTAAATCTTCAAAATAGAAGTCAGAAATCATTAGTATAAAAAAACTTTCAAGTTAAGTGCAGCATACTAGGGGGCCATGTAAATAACGTTGGTGAATTTGATTCACTTGGAGACGTTTTAGCAAAGCAAGACTTTGGTAGCACCATGTGGGACTGCTCTGTCCAGAGACATTAGCTAACCACTAGTCACCTGCAGCCTCATCTTTGCTGGGTCTCAAAACCAGTGAGAACATAGTCTGACTATTAAGAATTTCTCTCTACTAGTTGAAGGACTGGAAATAATAGTTTACTCTCCTGAGTCTGGTGAACCTGAGCTTGAAGCTGGATTCTGTGATCTGTGAACGGTGGTCAAATCTTTCTGACCATGATCAAGAACATCTAATATGATAGGCTTGCCCTGATTCCTGGTTATCACACCAATTTTTCACTGGTGTGCTGACCAGAATACATTAATGTAAGATGTAAAACCCTCTTCTTCTGGCCTTATGTCCTATTTCTTTGCCATTCAAAATGTATTCTTGAATGCCGCCATACTCATTGAACCGCATGTAGTATGCCTCTGTGCTTTTATCTCATTGTTCCACTTGCTCTAATTCTTTCATGCCTGGCAAGCATCTACGAATCATTCTTTGTTCTAATTATATACTATTTTGTTTCCCTGAATGCATGATTTAAGTTCACTCCTCTGTCCCACAATAGTAAATTCTGTTAGTCTTTGTCATCTGTGTTAGAACTCACTTCCTACAGTATCATAATGGTTTCATTGTCTATCCTTTTCTCTCTTCAGAGTCCCCCAGGAGCTTGGACTATACCACATTGCCTTTACATCTTACAGTCGAGGGCTATGTGTCAAATTCTCAATAAATGTTTCTTGGATTGGACTGAGTCTGGTCTTGATTTCTAGCTCTACCACTAAAAATGTAGGAATGCTTATTTGACTGCACATCACGCATCAAATTATAACACTGTCTCAAGACTCTTCCTGCTCTTAAGGTCAGACCTAGGTTATGGAGACCTACCTAAATCATACCTGAGTTCTCCCCATGCCTTTGAGCTTTGAAAGAAACTGATTTATAATTTTCCTGGAGAATGAGAAAGGAAGAAAGAAATGAGGTCTGCCTAGGCATATTAATCCATACCTTTGGCACATAGCAGATCAAGCTTACTCTCAATCTTGCCACAGTTCCACCAAGAACAGTTTAGTACACTTTACAACTGAGGCTATATGCTTTTTTTAAATTTATTTTTTATATTAAATTGGCAAGTTATAATAGTATATATTTGTGAAGTACAAAACGATGTGATGATATGAATACAATGTATTGGGTTGGTGCAAGAACAATTGTAGATTTTGCCATTAAAAATAATGACAGAAACCACAATAACTTTTGCACCAATCTGTCAATTGAGAAAAATGATGAGAAAAGTCTCAATCATTTTAGGAAGTTTATTTGCCAAAGTTAAGGGTGCACGCCGGTGTCACAGCCTCAGAAAGTCCTGACGACATGTGCCCAAGGTGGTTGGAGCACAGTTTGGTTTTATACATTTTAGGGAGATATGAGACGTCCATCAATATATGTAAGAGGTATGTTGGTTCCTTCCAGAAAGGTGGGGACAACTCGAAGTAGGGAGGGGGCTTCCAGGTCACAGGAAGGTGAAAGACAAATGGTTGCCTGCTTTTGAGTTTCTGATAAGCTTAAGCCTTTCCAAAGGAGGCAATCAGAATATGCATCTATCTCAGTGAGCAGAGGGATGACGTTGAAGAGAATGGGAGGCAGATTTGCCCTGAGCAGTTCCTAGCTAGAATTTTCCCTTTTGCTTAGTGATTTTGGGGCTCAAGATATTTTCCTTTCATAAACCTAATAGAATAATTAAATCAAACCAATTAACATATGTATTACCTCAAACACATATTCTGTGGTGAGTATTTGAAATTTACTCTCTGATTTTGAAATATACAATATGCCATTATTAACTATACTCATCATACTCTGTGACAGATCTAAAAAACCCCCTCATTCTCCTAACTAAGGTGTTGTTCCCTTTGCCATTCATGTCCCCATCCCCTCTATCCCTCAGCCTCTGTAACCACTATTCTACTCTCTGCTTTTATGAGTTCAATTGTTTCAGATTCAATTCATGAATGTGAACATGTAGTATTTGACTTTCTGTGCCTTGCTATTTCATTCAGAATAATGCCCTCCATGTTCATCCAAATTTTACAAATGACAAGAGTTCCTCCTTTTTATGGCTGAATAGTACTCTACTGTGTATATGTGCCAGATTTCCTTTATCCATTCATCTGTTGATAGACACTTCAGTCGATTTTATAAGTTGGTTATTTTGAATAGTGCTGCAATGAACCTGGGAGTGCTTATAATAACCCAAATTACTGAAATACAAATGAAATGCATGACTTGATTATCATAAATACATACAGCCTCAGAGTTTGCAGGAATATTGAAGATGAACTAGATCAACAAGATGTCTGCTGCAAAACTTAATGTGCAAAAATGAAGTGGTCATTCTGTGGATGTTGGGTCTCTGGTTACAACGATAGATGATCTTTATTAAATTATTACTATGAGAAGATCCTGTTCAAAGTGATTACATGTATCAATTCATGTAATCTTCTAACAATTCTATAAGATAGAGATTAGTATTGTCTCCATTTTACAGAAATGGAGCTCTAAAGAGGTTAGGTAAACACACAAGGATACAGAGCTAATAAATACTTAATCTATCATTCATGTAAATAGCCTGGCTCTAGAACCAGAGGTCCTAGTGACTAGGCTATGGGGCATTCCACTAAGTTCCAGTATATGGCATACTTCTTTCAGTAACTCTTTGATAGGAGCTCACCCACTCAACATATATTTATTGTATGTTATCTGTATATCAGGCCTTATATAGCTTCTGGGACTTTAACCTAAAATGGAATATACTCTGTCCTCTCAAAGAGCTCATAGTGTGGTAGGGAAAAGTTCAGGTAAATTAAAGTATACTAAATGGTGCTCAATAAATGCTTGGTGAATAATAACTGCCATGATAGTGGTAATATGGAAGGATATATGAGAGTAAAGAAAGGATGTCTCAAAAAGACTTGAGGCAGTTGGTTATCAGGAAAGACTTCCTGGAAATTAGCTAGATGAACATAATGACTGAAGGCGTATTCTATGAGAAGGTAATCATAAGAAAGAAAGTCTAGAAGTATGAGACAACCTCACACATTGCAGGACAAAGGCAATGATATGGTTTGGCTGTGTCCCCATCCAAAATCTCATCTTGAATTGTAATCCCCATAATCCCCATCTGTCAAGTGCGGGACCAAGGGTGGAGGTAATTGGATCAGGGGGACAGTTTTCCCTATGCTGTTCTCCTGAGAGTGAGTGAGTCTCACCAGATCTGATGATCTTATAAGCATCTGGCTTGCACTCACTCTGTTCTGCTGCCCTGTGAAGAAGATGCCTGCTTCTCCTTTGCCTTCTGCCATGATTGTAAGTTTCCTGAGGCCTCCCCAGCCCTGGGGAACTGTGAGTCAACTAAACCTCTTTCCTTTATAAATTACCCAGTCTCAGGTATTTCTTCATAGCAGCGTAAGAATGCACGAATACAGGCATCCTATAAGGAAGTAATAAAAACAAGTGAAACAGGGTCTGAGATAAGGTTAGAAAAAAGCCTGGAGTCTCAGTGTGAAGGGCTTTGGATGTTAAGCTATGAACTGTGAACTATAGCATGACAGCCTTGAGACCCATTTAAGGTTTGAAAGTCAGCTAGTGACATGATCAAAATGGCATTTTAGAAAGGTCACTCTGACAACTCTGAGGAAGGTAGATTAAAGGGTCCAGATTGTATAGAACAAGAGGCTACTGCAACAAAGTAGAAGAAAAACAGACAGGATTGTGAAAAAGGAAAGAAGAGAAGATGTGCTTGGAGGCATTAGGCAGGTTTACTCAATCAGACTGTGCTAAGATAATACATTACACATTTTCATAATATTGCATCTACATTCTTGTATAATTTGCCCCATATGAATCTTTCTTCTGTAGTAGTACATAACATGTTTTTAAATTTTTTTGAATAAGTGAAAGAACACTTTGGTGATTGAGTAGATGTTGGGGGTGGGGGGGCGGGGAAAGGAAATACAAAATGGCTCTCAACATTTCTGGCAAGGACAACATGGTGCCATACCCTGAGATGGGCAGTAAAGGAAGAGAAGAAGGTTTCAGTGGAAAGATGATGGATGAATGATGATGGCTAAAAGATAGTTTGGATACTGTTTGTTTGTCCACACCAAGGCTCCTGTTTAAATTTGATCCCCAGTGTGGTGGTGTTGGGAGGTGGGGCCTGTGGGAAGTGTTTGGGCTATGGAGGTGAATTCCTCATGCAAGGCTTGGAGCTTTTCTTGCTTGCTTGAGAGTAGATTTGTTGGCCGGGCGCGGTGGCTCACACCTGTAATCCCAGCACTTTGGGAGGCCGAGGCGGGTGGATCATGAGGTCAGGAGATCGAGACCATCCTGGCTAACAAGGTGAAACCCCGTCTCTACTAAAAATACAAAAAAAAAATTAGCCGGGCGCGGTGGCGGGCGCCTGTAGTCCCAGCTACTCGGGAGGCTGAGGCAGGAGAATGGCGTGAACCCGGGAAGCGGAGCTTGCAGTGAGCCGAGATTGCGCCACTGCAGTCCGCAGTCCAGCCTGGGCGACAGAGCAACACTCCGTCTCAAAAAAAAAAAAAAAAGATCCTTTAGGGAGTGTGTGTGTGTAAAAAGAGAGCATATATAGGAAGATAATTTAATTGATAATATAAAGTACAATATTGTGGAGAAACAAGCACACAGGAAGAAGATAGTACAGAAAAATCAGAGAGAAAGGAGGAATTCTAGGAGAGAAGGGTCAGGAGAGAGGGGTCACAGAAGCCAGGAAGAACTAGGGTTTCAGGAGAGGATGAATATTCAACAGTTGCAACTGCCATAGAGATGAAGCAAGATAAGCACAACAAATGTGTCATTGGGCCTGGTAATATTGAGGGCAATGAAGTTATTAGTGAAAGTAGATGCAGTGAAGTGTTGGAATCAGAAGCCAGAATGGAGTTGGGGGAAGAATAAATAGGATGTAAGGAAATAGAAACAGTAACTGTGAAGTCTTCTTTCAAGAAGTTTTAAGACTTTTACCTAACAAGGAAGCAATAAATGGTAGCTAGAGGAGGGTGTATATTCAAGAATGACATTGTTTTAAGATGAGAAAGGTTTGAGCTCTAGTGACTGAATTGTTCCAGGATAAAGTAAAATAAACAAGAGAATAATTTTAAAAATCAAATAGAGTAATAACAACTAAGTCACCGAAAAGATGGGCCATGGAGTCTAAACTACATAGAGAAGAAGGTAAAGGTCAGATTGGCGATAGAAATTGTTCAGAAGAAGCATAAAGGGAAGAGAGTAAAAGGAATAAGAGAAAAGCATAGCAGATTTGAATCAGACACTGAGATGTTTATGTTTAAGTTTCTACAGTGAATCTGAGTAAGGAACTAAAGAAGAGTGATGTATTAACCAAACATGTTTTTGGTACAAGTCAGCTCAATGATAGGTGTGAGAAATATCTAGAACATAATCTTGGAAATATGCTTCTGAAATGCAGCAGAGGTGAAAGAAGCTGGGACTAAGAAGAGCAAGGAACTGAAGGGCTACCAGTTGGACTACTCAGCAAGGTATGTATTAAAATCACTCTGGCAAACTGAAATAGTCTTTATGGCTGAATAGTGTATATTCAGAAAATGTGGAGGAGATTCCCAAAAGGCAGAAACAGCTGTATAGTTGGATGACAGCACTCTCAAAGAAGCAGTTTCTGGAAAGTTAAAGAGTACGTGTTTGGAAAGGGCCCTGAAGATTAAGAAGGTGAACCCGAGTCTTGGCCCTGTGGTACAAGGGTATGAGAGAATGGGCTACTGACACTGGTGAGTGAAACACGTGACAAACTTGCTTCAAGATAATGTCAGATTTTTAAAAAGACCAGAAGGCAAATTGGACACTGAGTGAAGAGGACAATGCTATAGGGTAATTTGTTAATATGGGTCATGGTTCCTGGAGAACACAGGGGAAAGTGTTGGCCAAACAGTAGTGGTGGGAGGACAATTAGGAGAGTGATAGAAACACCAAAATTGTGGAGATGAGAGGATAATAGAGCACACTTAAAACAAGTGACTAAAGGGCCTCCCATTTGGGGCTGAGGTGCAACTTGACAAAGGGTGCGAAGAATGGTGATATTATTGACCTCATGTGCTGCTTAGCCAGAAGTCTCCTAACAAGATGTTTCTAGCCAAAGACTCAGAATGTAACCAAGGCCAAGTCTATACTTGACTCAAGTCTATGCTTTTTGTGTTCTAGTCAAAAATCTGATATTTTTTCCTAAGGCAATCAATCCATTTACCCTTAGGCAATTTTGATTGCTAGAAAGAAGTTTCCATTGATATAAGACACCTCTCTTTATGCATTTCATTCACCCATCAAGTTTCATCTGTTGGGGTAACATAAAACACAGACTTTGAAGATGGGTATCATGTGCATTCAGAGTCCTTTTCTCTTCAGACTGAATGTGCCCAATGCTTTTTCTGTTGCTACTTGTCATGCATTTCATCATCCTACTCATTTTTCAAATGTTTCAACTCACTTTAGTTTATAGTACATTCTCAATATAGTGGCTAGAAATGAATCAGAAGCCAGAACGGAGTTGGGGGAAGAATAAATAGGATGTAAGGAAGTAGCAACAGTAACTGTGAAGTCTTCTTTCAAGAAGTTTTAAGACTTTTACCTAAAAAGAAAGCAATAAATGGTTGCTAGAGGAGGGTGTGTATTCAAGAATGACATTGTTTTAAGATGAGAAGGGTTTGAGCTCTAGCAACTGAATTGTTCCAGGATAAGGTAAAGTAAACAAAAGAATAATTGTAAAAATCAAATAGAGTAATAACAACTAAGTCACTGAAAAGATGGGCCATGGAGTCTAAACTACATAGAGAAGAAGGTAAAGGTCAGATTGGAGATTGAAGTTGTTCAGAAGGAGCATTAAGGGAAGAGGGTATAAGGAATAAAAGAAAAGCATAGCAGATTTGAATCAGACACTGAGATGTCAGACACTAAGGCACGTTCTAACAAGCACACTCTAGAATGAAATTATAAGGGAATGAAACCAACACTTATTGAACACCCACTATGTTCCTAGCCCAATGTGAGTCATGTACATGCATAAACTCACTCAAGGCTCAGTGTTTAAAGCGCAAGTTCTTATGTCTGAGATCATGGGTTGGAGCCCTTGTTCTGTCACATAGCTAATATAACAAATTAATTTACCTTCCTGGGACTCATTGCTTTCCTCTGTAAAACGGGAATAATAATGTTATTTATTTAGCAGGGTTACTATGAAAGTTAAATGAAATAAGGCATACTTCCTGCCATGTATTGCCTGGCACAGGGTAAATACACAATAAGTGATAGTTATCATTATCTACAATTTTCCAGATGAGAAACCTGGCAGTGAGTTAAGGTCAGACAATCAAGATTGAAATCCAGATGATTAAATTCCAAAGCTCATTACATCATCTTGTCCCACATTCTAAGTTTCAATGCATGTCTTTCTGATGCTGCAACCCAAGATGATTGTTTGTAGATTAATGCTGAGTGAATTGTCCGCCACGATTCTTATGATTTTTCACAAATGCTACTACTGTTAAGCATGGTTTCCTCAGCCTAAACTTAGGAAAATTTATTTTTGAATCTCATTGAAGCCATTGTATTATTTAGGCTTAATGTTATGAACAACAGTGATAACTATGGAAATTTAAAAAGTGAAGAATGCAAAACATATTACAAAAGTAATTAAAACATATAGAAATAAAATGGAGTTGGTTAGAGAAAGTAAGAAAACAAGATGAGTATAGGTCAATACTTATTTATTTTAAAGATATTAATACCATTGACAGAAATGAAGAAATTTGGAAAAAAAATGTTGGCTTGGGAGGCAAAATTGTATTTTACTGGGAGATTTATTGACAAAATAGTTGGATTGACTCTTCACAAATTATCATTTTTTTCCCTGGATAAGATCCCCGATGAATGAAGCACATAATTGAAGCCTCAATTTTTTTAAGAAGTAAAAATGGTTACATCTAACTTCATATAAAAAGACAAAAGAATTTTATAATTCATTAGAAAACTAGTCATAATTACAATAATAACATGGATCTGAGGCCAAAGTGAAAATGATATTTTGGTCTAACTGTCCTGTCATTTTGTGTGAGTTTGAGAAAATGTACTCTGGGTCTATCAAAAGAGCTGATGTTAATGAAGGAAGTGCCCTAGCGAACTAGTGCTGTCTCCAGTGAACTATCACATCCTAGGGCATAGTGGCTGACTTAATGGGTTAACTTAGGATTCATAATAAAATAAAGTCTTGCCTGAAAGATAATTCTGTTTCATTGAAATCTCGGAAAGAACTTGTGAGAATGATCATCAGTATTCTATGACAAATGATAGTCCAGTAATGTAGAAAGTAGTGGTGGACTTTTTCTTCATTGACCACTGTTAATCCATTAGCAACTTAATTCCTTTGAAATGTAACTTCTTCAAAACACTTAAGGCTGTCATTTTTTATCACTGAGCATCAGAGTCCATCAATCATTGCCAAAAATTGTCAATCACAGTCAAATGAGGGCATTTTCAGAACTAATGGATAGGAACATTTTGACCTCATGTTTTTCAAAACCTTAAAATCACATGCAAAAGAATATAACTTAGACTCCATCTTCTGTTACTGGTAACTTTAGATAACCTTAGAGATTTTCAAAGTGTATTTTGAATACATAGTGCTAGATTTGTTTAATGGCTCATACTTTAAGAAATCAGAAGCATACATAGTGGAAAATTCTAAAAATGAGAAACATGAGATCTGGGTTCTAGTCTCCGACTTCACTACCATATGTGACCAAGGGCAATTTCTTTACCCACTCTTAGAGCTCTGTTGTCTATTTTCTATAATAGATACATAATATCTTACCTTCCTAGTGAGAGAACTGTGAAAATGATCTCATGCAGTTTCCTCCCACTTGGAGATTTATTACCATAAATCTTTTACCTGCAGTTGAAATGCACAAAAACAAACTATAACCAAAACAAAATAAAGCAAAAGAGACTCAAATTGTTTCTTTAGATATATTTTCTCCAAGACATAAACCTCTACCTTGTATATTTTGTCTTCCTGTATTTTTAATTTTCTACCAAAGTCCTTTTAGTTTTCAGGCAAGCTAAATGATTAGCATCAAAGACAGTCCCTAGAATTTCTGGCTGAGGTTAATTGTGACAGTTGTGAGTCTGACAGTTGCATCTTCATTTGCTGATTTTCCAAAGTCTAGCTGCATAAAGACCCAGGATTGCCAAATTATGGGGAAAATACCAGTAAATCTGCTTCTACTTCTTTCCTGTCTACTACCACACAGTCCTGGGTTGTAGCTCAATGCCATGTTTCACGAATACTGTGTATGTTTTCCTGCAATGTGTACCCCTAAGATTTGAGATTTGCCTGTTAAATTCCACAATAGGTAAGTTAAAACCTACCTGCTGCTTTTTTAAACTATAACTTTATTTTTGACAAAATTCTGTCTTCACGTTTAAGTATTGACCTTTCCTATATTCTTAACAATTTCTGTCTACAGAATTGCATTCACTAGGGTGAAGTTTCTCCGTGGGTTTTTGTTTGTTTGTTTGTTTGTTTGTTTGTTTTTCAATGTTTGAATTAAGAAAACAACCATCCTTTCTGCATTCGAGGAAATCCAAGGATAACCTAAACATTTTCCTTAGGAAATTCATAGGTGATTGAGGCTCCTGCCAACATGAAAAGTTCACTCACCCAGGAAAACTTAAAACATTTATTTAATTATTATTTGAGTGGCTCCTATGAGTCAGATACTTAAACAGTACAGCCCTTAAGGTTCCCATTATCAGTAGGCTCATCTTTTTCTTTAATGTCTGAGTCCGTGTTCCCTAATTATCCGTTGCCCTTTCTTCCTTTTTACAAAAAAGAGTGGGAAAGAGTGCCTCTAGGGTTGACCTAGCTCTGACAAAGCAAGTGGAAATAAATGAGCAACGTTTCTAGAAACTACACCAAAACGGAAGTCACCATTCCCTCTTCTCACGTTCTCTAAGACAGCCAAAAGTACACACAACACGGGACAAATGCCCTATCACCCCAGGGAGAGTTTGACTTTTTATACACAAAAATCGAGGAGGTAAAAATCAGTGCAGCAAAGGGGTTGAGGATAGTAAGTTAGTTTTATGAACTAGAGATAAAAAATTTTTAAATCCTTTGCAAGGTTAAAAGGTATAAATATATCAGTATGTTAAAACTATTATTGATAAGAACTTGGAGGAAAATACAAATAATATCAAAACAACATAGTTTTTTTTTTCCTACTTATTCCTGTTAATGCCTATAATATATAATGCCTATTAATATAATATTAATGCCTATAATATAAAAGGTAAGGTAACATTACTTTCTTGCTTTCTAGAAAATTGTTACATTAAACATATCACACATAAATCTAATTTGGAGCCATAAGTTTTCATTATTATAAATAATGCTATTGCAGAGATAATTTTATTTGTGTCATCTTGAAAACAATATAGACTATCCAACATTAAATGAAATTTAAGTGTATTTCATGTATGTTATTTGTGACAAAAGAGGTAGTGTATATGCCAAATTTTGCTAAAATAAGGACTTTAATGCAACCAGACACTGATTCTCTGGTGACTTCATACATCACTTTCACCACTCTGACTCATAGAGACAATGCAAAATTCATGAAAGCAAGGAAAAATATGATAAAATTTGTGGTATTTTTTTGTTTGTTTAGTTTTATTCTTAGCATTATTTTGTCACCATTTTTATTTTTAAAATATAATACACACAATTACTTTTTTTACTGCACTTCAAAGAACTTTACAGTTTTAAATTATTTTATTCTTGTATATCCCCTCTCAGAAAAAAGTGAGGGAGGTTGAAGTAAAGCGATTTAACCATAAAGGAAGGTAAATTTCTGTATGGTGTTTTTTGCAGGAGACATAAAGCATGTCAATTATATCCGTTAGTGTTCATTTCAGATTCCAGAAACCACACCAGTTATTTCAAGAGAAAAAATTTGGCATTGAGCATTGTTAAGCATGTAATGAAGAAGTGAAAGGGCACAAAGGGTACATAAATTATCACAGAGGTAGAAACCACAAAAAGCAGCTTCCACTCCCAGGACTGGAGAAACAGAAGAAGGGGCTATTATTGCAACCTGAGTGTTGGAGAAGGGGTCACACAAAATTGTAAGTCAGTCCTTCGAGAAGGATGTGCTACTACGTGGTGTGGGTGTCTCTGATCTAGGAGGAGGGGATGGGGGTGGCTCTGATCTAGGAGGAGGGGCACTACAGGGCTGGGACTCTATCCTCTGAAGAGGGGGTATCAGCCAATTGATGCTTCCATTTTTAGTGGGGTTGGGGAAGTTATTTCTGAAAGTGTTGGAGCAAATGCAAAGTGGAATTAGTTATTGCTACCAGAGCAAACATTTATTGTCAGGATGAAGAAATGTTGCTGGGTATTGCTGAGAGGAGCTGAAAGCAAACAGGAGAGAATGACAACCTTCTTTTGCCTTTTTCTCCTTCAAGTTGCCTCTAGCACCTATGAGTAGAAGTCTAACAGAGAGCCAGTTGGTAAGAGAGAAATATGGTTTTGCAGAGCATATAAGGTGGGTGGGTGGGAAACATAAAAGACAATAGCTCAAAAATCAGCACCTAAGGTATCTAACATCTGCTGATATGCACCCTGTGACTGTCTAACAAAAACTAAGGGAATAGGCTGAGCATGGTGGCTCATGCCTGTAATCCTAGCACTTTGGGAGGCCAAGGCAGGTGGATCACTTGAGGTCAGGAGTTCAAGACCAGCCTGGCCAACATAGTGGAAAACTGTCTCTACTAATAATACAAAAAATTAGCCAGGTGTGGTGGCACGTTCCTGTAGTCCCAGTTACTCAGGAGGCTGAGGCAGGAGAACCGCTTGAACCTGGGAGGCAGAGGTTGTAGTGAGCCGAGATCGTGCCACTGCACTCCAGCCTGAATGACAGAGCCAGACTCTGTCTCAAAAACAAAACAAAAGAAAACAAAACAACAAAGAAAAACTAATGAGATAGAGGCTGTGGCTTATTTCCAATTCTTTTTCTCCCATTTGAATGTAAATAATATTCAGACACACGCATGTGTGCATGCAAGGGCTGCAATGAACTGCAATAATTACAGAACCCTGGACTAAATAAGAGCCATAATAAATGAAAATGGGAAAAAATGCAAGATTATAGTTAGTTGAGATATAAATTTAAGGTAAGAAAGGGGTGACAGTGGCCAGGCACAGTGGCTCACGCCTGTAATCCCAGCACTTTGGGAGGCCAAGGTGGGCGGATCACGAGGTCAGGAGATCGAGACCATCCTGGCTAACACGGTGAAACCCCATCTCTACTAAAAATACAAAAAATTAGCCGGGTGTGGTGGCGGGCGCCTGTAGTCCCAGCTACTCGGGAGGCTGAGGTAGGAGAATGGCATGAACCTGGGAGGTGGAGCTTGCAGTGAGTGGAGATCGCGCCACCGCACTCCAGCCTGCAGCCTGGGTGACAGAGCGAGACTCCATCTCAAAAAAAAAAAAAAAAAAAAAAAAAAGAAAGGGGTGACAGTATGTGGCAGATCATAAGACTCTATTATCCAAAATGGAGAGCAATATTTCTGGTTCCAAATTCTCTTCTAAAACTCCATTAGTCCTCATCAAGAATTAGACTCTGTTTCCCCTTCCATTGAAACTGTACTGGCCTTTGTGACTGCCATAATGAATAGAATGTGGCATAAGTGACACTGAGCATCTCTAAAGAGTAGGTGTTAAAATAGATATACCTTCTCTTTGACCATCTCTCTTGGGATACTTGCACTTGAATCTGGCCACCATGTTGTATGGCTACCTAAGCTACCTAGAAGAGCTAGATTAGGTGATCTGCCCAACAAACCCCACAAAAATCCCAGAAGATTGCCAGTATCAATTTCTAGACATGGAATTGAGAAAGCTTACAGATGACTCGAGCTTCCAGCCTTTGAGCCACCTCAGTTGATGTTGAGTGCAGCAGTGATGAGCTATCTCTCTGGAGACTGTAAAATGTGCAGATTAATAAAGCAAAATATGTTTACTTTTCAAGCAACTAAGTTTTGGGGTGGTTTGTGATGCAACCACAGTAATTGTAACAGATTTTGGTCCCAGAAGTTGTATGCTGTTATAACAAACTTAAAAACTGGCTTTGGGAGCAGGCGGTAGGTAGAAACTGGAAGAACTTTGAGGAGAGTGTTAGTGAAAATCTAAAGGGCTTTTCTTAATGAAAGTTTGATTGCCCCAGAAGAGACTGTCAGTAAGAGTTTAAGTAAAAGTGACAAAAATGATATTGGAACCAAGAAATAAGGGGATTATTGTTATGCAGTGACAGAAAGTTTACAACACTATTGCCTGAGGTAACGTGGAAAAAGGAAAACATATCTGGTAAATTGGATGATCTAACTAAGAAGATTTCCAGGTAGAATACTGAAAGTCCACCTGGTTTCTTTTTGCTGTCTGTAATAAAATGAGAGAAGAGAAATACAGATGAAAAATTAATTGTTCAGTTTTCAAGCAAAATTAAAATAGTAAGGAGTCTAGCCTTGTTGAGTTAAAAAATAATACTTTCTCATACCCAACCACATGATTCTCAGATTTGGAAATATTTTCAGAACAAAGATAAAATCAAGGGTGGGACTATATGTTCATTTGTTAAGAACTCAGAAAGAGTTATGGCAACACCTCAGATAACTTTGTCAGGCAACTTTGTCAGACAAAAGGCCCTCTAAGGATCTTGAAGGTGTGCCTCACAGATCCTCCTCCACTAAATAATAATGGAGTTTCTAAAAATCTTCAGGGTAACATTCATCAACATCCTTACAGAAAACCCATGAAAGAGAGAAGGGTTTATCTCAATGAGATTTGTGAGTGTGTCTTTTGCCTCAAGGAGTAAACTTCAGTAACAATTATAGGAAGGCTACAAAGATTTTTAAAGTCTGGGTGCCTTGGCTCACACCTGTAATCCCAGCACATTGGGAGGCTGTGGTGGGAAGATCACTTGAGGCTAGGAGTTCAAGACCAACCTGGGCAACAAAGTAAGACC
The DNA here is from genome assembly GCF_000001405.40 of Homo sapiens. Classification (NCBI taxonomy): domain Eukaryota; kingdom Metazoa; phylum Chordata; class Mammalia; order Primates; family Hominidae; genus Homo; species Homo sapiens. The sequence goes on from NC_000013.11 coordinate 71,942,415, forward strand.
CCAACCCTACAAAAAAGAATAAAAATGTTAGCTGGGTGTGGTGGTGCACATGTATAGTTCCAGCTACTTAGAAGGCTGAGGCAAGAGGATGGTTTGAGCCCAGGAATTTGGGTTGCAGTGATCTAGGATCCCACCACTGCACTCTAGCCTGGAGGACAGAGTCAGAGTGATATGGTTAGTATCTGTGTCCCTGCCCAAATCTCATGTTGAATTGTAATCCCCAGTGTTGGAGGAAGGGCCTGGTGGTAGGTGATTGGATCATGAGGGCAGATTTCCCCCTTGCTGTTCTCAAGATAGTATGTAAGTTCTCATGAGATCTGTTTGTTTAAAAGTGTGTGGCACCTCCCTTGTCTCACTTCTCTTCCTCCTCCTCAGCCATGTAAGATGTGCCTCCTTCCTCTTCTCCTTCCATCATAATGGTAAGTTTCCTGAGACCTTTCAAGCCATTCTTCCTGTACAGCCTGTGAAACTGTGGGTCAATTAAACCTCTTTTCTTTATAAATTACCCAGTCTCCGGTAGTTCTTTATAGCAATGTGAGAATGGACCCTGTCTCCAAAAAAAAGAGGAAAGCCACAAAGTTTTAAAGAGAACTTTACTAGTAGCAATACTGCCAGCTTGAACTAAAAAAGACAAACAGAAAATGAAAAGATGTCTTCAGATCTCTATACTGTGGGCAGGAAAGAGATTGAGGAAACTACTTAGTTGCAAAATCCAGCTAGTTTTGACGAAAAATGAAGGATTTCCCAGAAGGTAGAACCAAGAGTACAAACAGCAGAGTCAAGAGCTGTGAGAGATCATTTCCAGGTAGCAATCCTGAGCCCTAATCCAGAAACTAACGCTATGTACCCAGCTAGGTTTTAGAATTTCTGTGGACCAGTAATTGCTGTAGGCCTTCCATTTCCACCTTTTTTTATGGTGTTGATAGTGGTTATCTATTAAGTCTGTCTCACCATCGTGCATTGGGTGTCAGGGGGAGGAGGTATCTGAATTCATAGGCCTGCACTTGAAGAACTGCACCTGAGGAGCCTCATCTGTATCTGGACTTGAAGTAGACAAAGAGATCCTGATTCTTGAGTGTAAGCCTGACTATGTAGTGGGATCTGAAGGAGTTCTTGGAGGAGGGCAAGGGTGGAGAATGTGGGCAGACTGGACTATTGTATTTTCCAAAAGTACACAGCAGCATTTCTGGTACCACTAGGCTCTTTCAAAATATTTTCAGTACTCCATCAAGAGGTGAATCTATTTTGCTTCCCATTAAAATTGGGCAGGCCTTTGTGACTGCCTCTAGAAGTAGAAGACAGTGGAAGTAATGCTGAGCGATTTCTGAGATTAGGACATTCAAGTGATTTGGTTCCTGCCTGGATCTCTCTCTCAGGATGCTTTCCCTTAAACCCCAGCCATCAGGTCATGAAGAAACCCAGACCACATGAAGTATGTTCTGGCTGACAGCTTTAGAAAATTTCCTAACTGACAGCCAACATTCACCTCCAGACATATGAAGGAACAATCTTTCAGATGACTCCAGCCGCCTGCTTTGAACCGTCTCAGCTGATGCTGAATCACAGCTGAGCTGTTAACGCTCATCTCTGCCTAAATTTCAGATGGATGAGAAAAATACAAATCATAACAGATTTAAGCCACTACGTCTTGTAGTGGTTTGTTTCACAGCCATATTGCAGTGGTTTGTTTCACAGAGGAAGTGTTATATTGACATGTATTTAGTATTTGCAAAAGTAACTAAACTAGAGAGAAGTGAATAAAAATAAAAGAAGGGGAAAGGTGATAATTCAAAGGAAACAATGTGAGATCAGAAGCACAAGTGGAATGATGAACCATAAAAGATCTGAGGCATTTCTTTATCTGAGAAAGGGGAGAAGGAGGATTGACAATATAAAGATAGTCAAAGAAGAGGAAAATATTCCTAAAAGACACATTTACTTTTCAGATATGGAGTTTATGGACGCTGAAAACCTTTAACTTTTTAGAAACTATGTTTTAAATCTATTTCATGTACTTTACTCACAATGATAAATATTACTTACCTTTTCAATTTTACAGTGTTCCTGGTCTGCTGCATATTTTAATTCAAATTTTTAATTTTTTTTAAGGCTAAGTAAGATAAGCATAGTTCTCTCTAAAAGGCAAAAACCTTTGAAGTAGTCCACCCCAAATTAATCATCATTCCCCTTTTCTCATATTTCCTTCCTTAATGGTTTAGAGATGAGCAGTCACATTACCATTATGTATGAATACTACTAAGCATAAATAAGTGGGACAGGTTGCCCTGCAAACAAATTTCATTAAAGTACCTAGATTAACACATTTTAAAGGTCTCTTTAATGAATCTTTGTCCTTGTGCTACAATACAAGCAAGAATAGGGCAAACTAAGTTGTAGAATTTTATATTTCCATCTCTAGCTTCAAACAATTAAGGGAGTTATAAATAAGCTCTACTATCTTTATCCCACTCAAAAATAATGAATGAGCCATCCTCATGAATCACAAGACTATCACATCAACCCATCACAAGCCCAAGATCATGAAAGCAAGATTTTAAACCAGCATTATATTTTGGAATAAATCATGGACTTGGTAACTATTTCAGAATTGTAAATGTTATGATTTTTAGAGTTATAGCATAATTCATATATCAAACCATGGCATCTATGAACCCCAGCATAGAACTACTAGAGCTTTTCCAATTTTTAGAGCAAATGTTTGTGAGTTCAGATTTTTAAAAAATTACTATGATGAGAAAAGTGATCAAACAAAAACATTTGGACATATTAAAAGATGAATTTTGTAATGAAAATTATATAAATAGAAAGGCAATTCTTCAAAAATGTTGGGGCACAATGCAGCAATAATTAGATTATTGTTGAAACAAAAGATTGCTTTTAGTTTTCATTGGCCAAAGATAACAAAGGATAAAATAGATAACTCAAAATAGAGATTAACCAACCGGACAGAGCTTTTTTTATTTTTGAGAGGGGGATGTGGATATATATATGCAATTAGGGTGATAAATATTAAAGGGATGTATCTTCTAATCATTTAATATCCACTACATATTAATAAATAATTTCTTCTTATAAACTATAATATTATCATAATTTCTATAACATATGATATTATTAAAGGGTCTATGTTGAAAAGCGTTATTGTAGAATACTACAACTAAATTCTAAAATGTGGAATTAAGGGAGGAAATAATCTTTTACTGTGCTTTGAACATGTAACTGTGAGGCTGGTTAAAACGTTTTTATTTCTTTATGCCTGTGACATCAGAGAAAGATACAGATTATGGTACTTTTCAAAACTATTGTTTTGTTTTTTTGAGAATTCACAGAAGTTTTCAGCAGGCATCTAAGTGGTTGATTTCCATTGCTTCAAATGACAAAAGAAAAAGGTTAAGTACATACATATTTGATGTTTTTAAAATAAATCTGACCTTAAACTCTAGTAAATTAATATAGCAAGGTTCCATATGTTCAAATCCGAATTTAGGACACATATTACTCTTAGTTACATAATGCATTTCAATTAATTGTTTAAATTTGGTTTTTCATTGGTTTTCCTTTTGGTTTCTCACATACAGAACTTAAGGGTGCACAATTCTCTTAGACACAAAAAATCCCGCTTAGATCCCACAAGATGCCTGGATCCTAATGCAGTACAACATTCTGCTAGGTTGACTCCTTCCTTGAAAGAAACAAGAAAATTCCCCGTAGAACAAAGGTTTTTAAAATCCAATGAAATTAATAGAAATGTCAGTAAAGTGTCTCAGAGGAGCCACAGGCAGTGAATTTTCCACACAAAATATACTGAAACTAGACGACTTATTGATGTGTTCATAAAAAATGTGTTTTGCTTTCCTTCTAAAAAAGTGTAGCAACAGGAATTCAAACACAAAATAGAAAACCAGACCTAAATTTAGTATTTAATATAATTTATAAGAAATCCTATTTAAAGCAGCAGTCTATAACTTTAGCCTATTTCAACCTTTCCTTTCAATTTCTAGCACTTCCAAACTACTTTTTCTTGACGTTCGATTTGTTATTACTTACTGCCTTTACTTTCTTTATGTTACCAACCTTTTGTCTCTTTTTCATCAAAATAAGAACATCACTGCTGCTGCTACAGAAACAATTGTGTGTGTCAGCATAGACACACACAAACACACCCACTCATAAAAGCCTCAGGACTCCCAAACTGTTTATAATCCCTTTTCTTATTATATAATGCTAATTTTAATATCATAATATACTAATATGATCTATCATACCCTCTCAATTCCAAAAAGGCTTGCTGTGTATTTTCTGCAAGAGTGGCAGATTCTAACCTAACTGTTAATGTGGAAAGAAGAATTTTCTTACTTGAATTTTACTATTAATAGGAGACTTAAAAAATTATTAGTGGTCAAATTTCAGATCTGACAGAACAAAATACATATAGCATCATAGCTAAAATTCTGAGGGGTTTAGTTTCATGGAAAAAAAAGGCATAACACAAATAACCAACTCAAATATATATTCTTCCAGAAATCTAGAGTTGTACCATTTCTCTTATATTTGATTACAAGTTTGATTACTAATTCAATCAGAGAAAAAACAATCAAAACATCTAAGACTAAATCGTGTCTAAATGACTATAGGCCACAGAACTCCCCACAGTCTATGGCAGAAATTTCAATTGCTATTCATATCTGGAATGTTTTTATATTTTTTTCTCATTATTCATAGTTGCAGAGAAAATTTTTTAAAAGTCCTTAGAGATTTAATTCAGTTTAGCAAACTTAAACTGAATAACCTTGATGTACCAAAATGCTGAACTAAGTAAGGGATTACAAAAATGATTAGAATACAGTGTTCACATTTTTTCTTGCAACACTTGTTTCTCTTGTATTGACTGGCACACTAAGAGCCTGGGAGTTTTCAAGATAATTGGAAAGTATCAGTATTCAAAACCAATCCCCAGTGCCACCAGGAGAAAACAAGAGAAAAGAAAAGAACTATCTGCCCTTATGAGACATGGGACTTACATCCTGATGTAAGGGGGTATAAAATAAATATAAATGACTAAATTATATAATCTTCCAGAATTCTGGAAAGGGATAAGTAAGATGGAAATTAAAGAGCATGGAGGGAGAAACCCAGACTATGGAGCAGAAGTGAGTGTCAGAGCAGATGTAAATTCGGATAGGTTGGTCAAGGGAGGTAAGATTCATCAAGAAGGTGGCATTCAAGCAAACACTCGAAAGAGGTGAGAAAGAGATGGGCTTTGGTTCCTGGAGGAAGATCACTACAGGTTAAGGAAATAGCCAGGGAAAAGGCCTTAAGAAGGCATACTTGTTGATGTTTTGATGAGCAGTGAAGCACCAGTGTAGCTAAAGAGAGTGAGCAAAGGCAGAAGCGTTGATTAAATCAGGGAGTTAATGGGGGCATGAGGAAAGCAGTTCACATAAGGCCTTTATTTTGAATGGACTAGAGAGTCACTGAAGTATTTGTAGTTGCAAGGTGCCATAGATCTTACATTTTGAATGTATTGCTTTACCTGCCATATTAATAATGCATTATAGAGGGGCGAGGGTAAAAGCAGAAAGACTAGATGGAAGACTATGATGGGGTGAAGTAATGGTGATTTAGGCCAAGATGGTATCAGTTGTTGATATAAAGAAGTTGACTGCTTTCTGGCCCAATGGATTTTATTTTTATTCTTATTTTTTTTAGAGATAGGGTTTGCTCTGTTGCCCAGACTGGATTGCAGTGGTGTGATCATAGCTCAGTGGAACCTTGAACTCCTTGTCTCAAGTGATCCTCCTGCCAGATTAATTTTTAAAATTTTTGTCTATGTTGCCCAGGCTGGTAGCACATTGGATTTTAGATGAGCATGTTGGGAAATTATCCTGGTCCGAGCCTAGTTTACCGATGACTGAATATTAAATTATATTTGCTTTTGTGAGCATATTTGCATTAGCAGAGTTCTATGTTTATGCGTTTTCTACTAAGTAGAACGCCATTACCTATTATAGTAATTTTTTGTTGAATGCTAATACTATCTTTTGACGTATCACTATAATTTCATTTCAGTTCGATTCCCAATTTCTCTTCTCTGTGAAGCCTTACTCCACCTTACTCTTACTCCACCCTACTGTATTCATGCCTTCAGCAATTACACATTCAATTTGTTCTGTATTATTTTGAGCCTGTTTCTTTGCTATTGTGATAGTTGCTTCTTTTGTTTCTCCAGTTTGGTTCTTGATAAAACGCAAGCAAGGAAAATACTTTTAGACACAGTAATCCCTTTACCCTCCAGGATAATTAGGTTATCATACTAATTATCAATTTTTGAGAGATAACTAAAATGATAAATTATATTCTAATACTCAGTAACAGGTTTAATCAAGGACATAGTAGTTTTCATACAAAGTCTCAGAAACTGATGCTACATAGGCTGAGAAAGGAAATGTTCTGAGTCATGAGCTTAGGTAGGAGAGGGATGAGTACATTTATTTATTTTTTCAGAAATTAAAAGCCAGAATCAGGGACTGAAAATGGAAAGTTTCACACCAGTAAATCTTTCAAAGATTATCCTTCTATCTAGCAGAGACATTTTCCCCTCTCATCAGACACAATAAACATAAAGATGGTTTAGTTTCTGTTTGTTTTATGGTTTTGGAATTCTGAAAAAAGAAGTTATAAGGGCAAGTTAACTTATTAAAATGCTTTGAACTCTTTGAAGAAAAGATATTTTTATGAGATACATGTTCAAGGCATTCTTTCTGTCTTTGCAGTTTTTCTCTCATAAAAGATATTCTCTTTCAAATGGACTTAAAACTATCAAATGTGTTTTTACTTACATTTACTTTATCTCCTTGTACATGCTAGGGCCCATCTGAAGTAATAACCTCTTTGTTAAACTTTGTCTCTTAAAAAAACCCCAAGAATTCTAACAAGCCAAATATTGTACAATATGCTCTAATATATGAATTGATCTCATTATTGATTCATGATGTCTTGAACCATCCCCCTCTGCCCTTCACCATATCTCAACACACCTTGACCGCCTTCTTCAAAAGTATGTCTATTCATGTTGTAGCCACACACTAAACTACAGACAATTAGCTGGTCCACTCCTCTGCCAAGGCTTGAAATACATCTCTATTCCAGATATTGGGAAGACAGCAACACCCCTTGTCCTTCACATGTGATTCCTTAAATAGTACCCCAGTGGCCTCGAAGAGTCAATGCACTTCTTTCAGCCTAATTTATTCCCAGAATATGACCTAGGTGCTGGGGAGGATAGAACACACTATCTGATGTTCAGTTTGCTCAACTGTACCCTAGAGAATCAAAACAGTAAGAAGCATATGGTATGAATATTGCCCTGAAGAAGGCACATTGTTCCACTTTGGAATTTAAAATAAGCAATGCAGCAACTGTTATTAACTAGCTTAGATCCTTTCTTCCAAATCAAAAGACTTTATAAAGTTTCAGGAAGCAGTTTGGTAGATTATGTGTCCTAAAGGTTTTCTGTCTTCAAGACTAGAGTCAATGATTCCACAAAGGAAAAAGCTCCTTAATAACTGCCAACACAGACCATTAAAAACACACAACTTTATGCTTTGCCTTTTCCCCACCTCTGCAGCGGCAATAACCATGTTCAATAACTAAGTCTTTGAGCGGCTGCCTGGTGCTGAAGTTAAATGCATATGACAGAAATACCAGCACTGATGGATGGCTCTGGACCTGCCATGCTGACAAAAGCCTGGGATGTTTGCAATGGTTGGTTATCAGTGAAAATGGGCATTACCTGATTTGGCATTTGAACACTTTGCAGATCCTAAAGTGATGGTCAGCATTGAACCCTGAAGACACAATGCTAGCAGGGTTAATACATGGCAGAATCTGTCTATACACTGTGGTGACTGATTATTTACTGAATCCCAGAAACAGATCTTTTGATAAGCAGACCTTTTGATAGATTTACTTTTGGGGAGTAAATTTCCAAGTTTTTATTTTTTCAACTAAAAATACTAGCAAATACAAAGATCCTCACTTGTTCGTAGTATTTTTTTATGAGACCTTATAGAATAAAAAACCTTTCAAAATGTTTTCATTTCCATCATTTATTTTGTCAAACCTCTGTAAATTTACATTTTGAAACTCATTTGCCTTCTAGGCATTATTATTTTTCTTAGTTTGTCTATAAATAGAATGATGACTTTGCATGCTAGTTTCATCTGGTATATTTTTATGTATTTATTTATATTAAACTTACTTTAGAAACATAAGCTAGACTAATGGCTTTTTTGCAAACAAACAAACAAACAAAAAGGATCTTAACTTAGTGGGAAAAAACAATCATCAAAGCAAAAGGACAAGATAGTATTTCAAAAATCATGCTGAAGGTATTGCAATTAAAACCAAATTTAACTCTGGGGTTCCAAGTAGCCCAAGCAAAAAGGGAAATATTATAGGATACAGATCTCTTTTTATCTTGAAGCAAGCATATCAATTCATCAGAAAAACACAGCATTTTTTTTTTTGTTCCACAGTTCTGAAAGTAAAACTTGCAAGTGTTTGTTTTTCCTTTGAAAATAAGGGCCACTGAATAAAATACTGACCAGCATTCACAGTGGAACTTTTTATAGAAACTACAGTGGTATTCTTCTTAGAGGTATTTCTTTTATTTGACCTTAGCAGGGGACAAGAACACCACGATGAACCAGAGTTATGTCAATGAATAGAGAAAAATGTTTTAGTTCAGTAGCATTTTGACAGCCTAACTTCAAATGAGGCTCAAATCTTACTATAATTCTAAGAAACAAAATTTAACCAAAGGCCTACTGAAAGGCCATTCGTAGTTATATTGAAAATTTTATTTTCAAATCATTTTAGTAGCTTCGATAATTTTTCAGGATAATTATCAAATAAGTATTAAAAAATAGAATAAATAATACAACAAATCAAAATAAACAATACAGCTGAAAGATATATTAGAGTCCCTATCCATATATAGAAGAAAAATGTGTATGCTTTCAAAACTGGTTGAGGTTGTCCATAGCATACCAAATGCAGAGCAGCGGAAGCTGGAAACTTTAAGCCAGTCATTACTAGGTTGTGCCAGTGAGTTGCAATGAATCAGAGGGCATTCTTTCAAGAAGGTTGTTTCTAAAGCATACGCAGAGATAACTTTTTAGTCAAAAGAACTATGAATACTCCAGAGTCTCCTTCATTTCGTAATATATAATCAGGAAAGTAAATAAATGAGAAGTTAGGTGGAACAGTTAAAATGTCTTTGAATAATTGTGGATTCTAGTATTTACACTGAACAATTGATAACTCTCATTTTGTAGATCAAAATGACTTTCTTCACAGAATTGGAAAAAACTACTTTAAAGTTCATATGGAACCAAAAAAGAGCCTGCATTGCCAAGTCAATCCTAAGCCAAAAGAACAAAGCTGGAAGCATCACGCTACCTGACTTCAAACTATACTACAAGGCTACAGTAACCAAAACAGCATGGTACTGGTACCAAAACAAAGAAATAGATCAATGGAACAGAACAGAGCCCTCAGAAATAATGCCGTATATCTACAACTATCTGATCTTTGACAAACCTGACAAAAACAAGCAATGGGGAAAGGATTCCCTATTTAATAAATGGTGCTGGGAAAACTGGCTAGCCATATGTAGAAAGCTGAAATGGGATCCCTTCCTTACACCTTATACAAAGATTAATTCAAGATGGATTAAAGACTTAAACGTTAGACCTGAAACCATAAAAACCCTAGAAGAAAACCTAGGCATTACCATTCAGGACATAGGCATGGGCAAGGACTTCATACCTAAAACACCAAAAGCAATGGCAACAAAAGTGAAAATTGACAAATGGGATCTAATTAAACTAAAGAGCTTCTGCACAGCAAAAGAAACTATCATCAGAGTGAACAGGCAACCTACAAAATGGGAGAAAATTTTCGCAACCTACTCGTCTGACAAAGGGCTACTATCCAGAATCTACAATGAACTCAAACAAATTTACAAGAAAAAAACAAACAACCCCATCAAAAAGTGGGCGAAGGACATGAACAGACACTTCTCAAAAGAAGACATTTATGCAGCCAAAAAACACATGAAAAAATGCTCATCATCACTGGCCATCAGAGAAATGCAAATCAAAACCACAGTGAGATACCATCTCACACCAGTTAGAATGGCAATCATTAAAAAGTCAGGAAACAATTTTCACAACCGACTCATCTGACAAAGGGCTAATATCCAGAATCTACAATGAACTCAAACAAATTTACAAGAAAAAAACAAACAACCCCATCAAAAAGTGGGCGAAGGACACGAACAGACACTTCTCAAAAGAAGACATTTATGCAGCCAAAAAACACATGAAAAAATGCTCACCATCACTGGCCGTCAGAGAAATGCAAATCAAAACCACAATGAGATATCATCTCACACCAGTTAGAATGGCAATCATTAAAAAGTCAGGAAACAACAGGTGCTGGAGAGGTTGTGGAGAAATAGGAACACTTTTACACTGTTGGTGGGTCTGTAAACTAGTTCAACCATTGTGGAAGTCAGTGTGGCGATTCCTCAGGGATCTAGAACTAGAAATACCATTGACCCAGCCATCCCATTACTGGGTGTATACCCAAAGGACTATAAATCATGCTGCTATAAAGACACATGCACACGTAAGTTTATTGCGGCACTATTCACAATAGCAAAGACTTGGAACCAACCCAAATGTCCAACAATGATAGATTGGATTAAGAAAATGTGGCATATATACACCATGGAATACTATGCAGCTATGAAAAATGATGAGTTCATGTCCTTTGTAGGGACATGGATGAAATTGGAAATCATCATTCTCAGTTAACTATCGCAAGAACAAAAAACCAAACACCGCATATTCTCACTCATAGGTGAGAATTGAACAATGAGAACACATGGACACAGGAAGGGGAACATCACACTCTGGGGACTGTTGCGGGGTGGGGGGAGGTGGGAAGGATAGCTTTAGGAGATATACCTAATGCTAAATGACGAGTTAATGGGTGCAGCACACCAGCATGGCACATGTATACATATGTAACTAACCTGCACATTGTGCACATATACCCTAAAACTTAGAGTATAATAAAAAAAATTTTTTTTCAAATAAAATGATAGAATTAGAAAATAAAAAAAAAGTAAACTTATAATGGCTGAAAACATATCTAATCTCCTTTTCAATAAATAATGATATGCAACAGAAAAAAAATCAAAAGAAATTGGATATTAGCAATTTCACACAGCTCTATCTTTTATAAGATAGATTTCATTTCCTTCACTATGTATGTTATACAAGTATAAATATAAAGCTAGATTTTTTATAGTATAGTGCTTCAAATAATTACATATTAGTTACAGAAAAAGTAAGTTATAATTATATGGAGAAACTGTGATTTTTAGAAGTGATGTTGCAACAAAATTTTTTTATTTTGTTCACATGACTTAATATATTTTACTCCTGCTGGGCTGATGCTTTCGTTATAAGAAAATAAGTAGATTGTAAGAAACAGACTGATTGATTACACTTACAGAAACCTTAGGGGTAAAGACACAAAAGTAAATCACATAAGTTTAACTGAAAAAATATATTTTTACCAGGGAACTGAACTTTGTTTTTTGGCTCTTAGTTTAAAAAGCAAGCTAATATTATATAAATTGCATGCGCTAAAGTAAAATTTTTTAAATTGGTGATCTGAATAACAAGAAATGTGTTACAAGAAATTGTTCTGTTCTGAAGTGTAAGAAGATGAAGGCTAAAGAAAGTTAATTAGATTGATTTATGGATTGATTTATTGATTTACTGATTACCTTCACATCTCTGTAATAAGTATAATTTTCCTTTACAAAACTTTTTTCTTCCCTAGACAAAAAGGGATGCATCAAAATCTTATCTATACTTTGTTCCCCATTCTTAGAAGCTATTTTGAAATAAAGAGCCATGAGGAATCATCAGCCTCATACAAAGATAACATATTGCTTTATTTTATTTCTGCAGTTTTTTTGTTAGTTCAAGGGATTGGATATCAACAGTCTAGAGGAATAGTAATATCCGGGCAGATATCCTTAACACATCCCTTCCACCCTTGGTTAATTCCTAGGCAGCCTATCAGAAGTGTTCAGTTGGGTCCCAAGTGGTTCAGGGATCTCTCCAGGCTCTGACTCCTCAAGGTCATCACCTCTTTGCTCTTGTCTGAGGGCTCCGGTTTCCATCCTGGGATGCCGGATGCCTCGCATAAGAGTCTTCAGTAGTTTGACTGCTGCCTTTCAGCTCTTGCTGGCCCAGGAACCTGCTTCCTCAGTTTGTCCACAGAGCATCAACCACAGGATCCCATCCCATTACCAGGCAGGCCAGGCATTTAAAATTTCAACCTGAGCCCGGAGATGCTTTGGATTGTGCAGCCGTAGGGAGTAATAGCTATGTTTTCACGGTTCTTGGTAATTATATTGAACTTCCTTATTTTAATATTAGGAATATACACTGAAAATTTGTAGGTTAAAAAAAGAAAAATAAAAACAAATGAATTTACTTTATGATTCCTCTTTAAAAATAATGACCAATAAAATGTAGGTAGAAGGAGCTTTAGTAGTAGCTATAAGAAGAAACACTTTAAAATAATGAGGTCCCTTATTCCCTTGGACAAATATATTATTCAGATACGAACTGTATCTTAATGCAATGTTTTCCATTTAAAATAACTATTAATAAAGTAAATGAATGAAGCATTGGCTCCTTGTTTCCCAAACATGTATATAATACTTCAAATAACAATACCAGTACGTATTTGGTATAAACGTTCTTTCCAATGATTCTAAAGATTAAAAAAGAAAAGGCTTTCTCTCCTCCTCTTCTCCCACTGCAAGATAACTAAAGAAGGTAAAAGTTCTAGACCTCAGGGTTCAGAAGAGTATTATAAGATGCAGGAGTTTGGCCTCAAGTTTAATTTTATATTTTATTTAAATATAAATAACTTTATTCAAATTTATTTAAATATAAATAACTTTATATTTTATTTAAATAGCACGCAATGAAGCTGATGCCTATTTTACTGCTTCCTTACCAGAATGTTTCAACTCCAGCAACTGGGTGAAAAGCATCTCAGATTTCATAGGAAAACAAGGCCCACTTTGTGTACACATATGTCACGTAATCAAATAAACTAGAAAATACTTATATATAAGAAGTGAAGTTATACATATTCTTTAAATACATATAATAACTGATTAAAAACTAAATTGCTAGTAAACATGATTTAAATCTAAAACATACAAGTGTTAAAAGACAAGGGAAACTATTTTGCAGTAAGTATTCTAAACAATTTTTCCAGAATTCCAAAGATCCTAGATAAATTTATATACATATGAAAATACAAATATCAGTCTTCACATTCCCACTCTACTGTTATATAAATTTCCGGTTAAAATATATAAGCCATGGCTTTTCTTTCCAGCTCCTAGAGGCCTAAGATGATGTCCCTGCCTCGGCATGGAATGTCTTCTCTCCCTCTACCCACCAAATTACTACATCTCTTTCAAGGCCCTTTTCGAAAGCTCTTTTTCATGGAGCTTTCCCCACTGTACAAGTCAGAATTAATTACTTCTTCCTATGGGCTCTCAAAGCACTTTGAACTTCTAAATGGCAATTACTTTACTCTGCCTTGCACTATTTACATGTTTAAATATGTCTGCCTCACAAGGCTTTAGGTTCCTTGAAGACAACATCTTAATCAACCTTTTCCCCCGCTACCCCATTGGATTTCTTTCATTCACGTGTACTTAATTATAATTTGGAAAATTGTTACCAGTTACGGAATTGCTGCCCAATAACTTTGGGTTAAAAATAACAGAATTGAAATTATTGTTTTTTACAATCCCTTCCAGTCAAATTCTGACTGTAAATGATGCCTTTCCATGTTGATCATTTTGTACTTTTGACAAGAAGGCAGCAATGTTAAAACTGTCTATGTGTGGTATTTTCCAATATTCCTTGGACTCCTAAATGCACCCTTTAATATATCATACCTGTAGAATGTCTGCAAATGTCACTTGGATAACTATCTTTTCCCTGTGCTTTACTAAGATTAACCTTTTGAGTCATATAAATCAAAAATTCAAGGAAAGAGAAAAAGCTGAAATGGATGTCACCTTTGTCCCTTTACTTTGTGAAACTTTCAACTTGAATACTGTATCATTGGTGATATTTTAAACTTTTAGCCATATATCTATGATGTTTCTTTCCATGGAGGTAAGAACAAACATTATTCACTCTCAGACGTCTTCTAATTTGGGGAAAGGCATTTTGCAGTTAGAAAAATATGAGACTGGGTTTAAACAATTCCCCCAAGGAGTGTAAATAGTATCAGAATTGAAAATAACCCCTAATTTTTCAGTTCTAATCAGCGTCCTAGTCTCTGGAGTGTCTAAAATACTGTACATTTGTACAATACTTTACAAATGATGATTCTCAAATCATCTATTAGATGTGTGTAGACCACCTATGTAGATGTATTAAAGTGTATGTAGATCTATGTAGAACACATGAATTAAACCTCAAAGGGCTACGTAAATGTACTGAGCATTGTTTTCTAGTTGTTAGACTGTTACCTTTTCACTAATACGTAGTTTCATACAAGATCAAATAAATTCCTCCTTCACTGAGTTTAAACTATATTTGTTTATCTTTTCACACTTTGTACTTAGTTTTAAAATCATCTGATTTTCTATGATAACCAGATTAAGATGGATATCTATGCTTATATTGACAGAAAAAAACTGAGGTTCAGTCGTTTAATGTCAAAAATTCCCCTTTTTTCTTTCGTATTTCAGGATCTTTCCTCTTTGTTAAACTTAGTAACAGGAAAAGAAATGTTAGAGGCATGAGTGGGTGAAACTTAGAAGCACTTTAGAAGAGCTTGCCTTTGAATTGATTGCTATTTAATGATATATATAGATTAATTTGGCATGTGCTAATGTTAATTCTTAATTATTTTTCTTATTTATGAAAAACTATATCAAAAACACACACATGCCACTGTAATGCTTACATTTGAAATATCTTTATCCCATATTAAGTGTTTACATAAAACTTTTGTCTTTGTATATTTCTGATCATGTATTAAACTGAGTTTACATAAAAGAACAGCACATTTTAAACATCAATAGTGGCTATATTGCTGTATTTTATTTTGAATATCATTAAAAATTAGTGTTCATGGATTAATATATAATCCATATATTATTGTAAAATTGTGCCAGAAGTTGTCAATGAAAGGATTTGTATAATATAATTCTATATAACCAGAGTGGAAGTTGTACTGTATAAAAAGGGCACAAAGCAATATTCTACCGTATAAGTTCAGGTTTGGACTTAAATTTCAAAGTACCAGTTGTTGAAATCTGTAGCAATTGAGAAATAAGAAAATGAAGCAATGATAAATTAAGAAAAAATTAAGAGAAATATTTGCTATTATTTAATTTAAATATTCAATTTCATCATTCATATTTAGGAGAAAACAGAAATTTAGAGAAAATAAAAAGGTTCAATATGAATTTAAAATCATATACAGATATATGGCCACTTAAAGGCTAAATGTGACACCTTTTTTATAGCCAAAATTTTATTGGAGTCTAAATAATTAAAATTGTCTGAATGAGGAAATAATTAGGATCTTAGTTTAGAGCAGAAACATTAGTCATATTTGTAGTCTACAAAGCAACTTTGCATACATAATGTTATCTTCTAGGATGCTAGTATGGGTATAGCAATGAAATTACAGGTAAGCACTGTTCAACCACCAAATAAGTACAAATACTTTACAGATTGTGTGTATGATTGTAGTGAAATCCCTTTTGCATCTGCAGGAAGCTTATGCTTTTGTGAAGTTTCATTTAGATCAAAAGCAAAGAGAAAACCTAGAGTTTTTTTTTTTTTTTTTTTTTTTTTAGTTCTTATCCTCATCTGATCTCTAGTTGAAGTTACCCTTAAATGCTCCTTTTCCTCTTCACTTGGAACAACCAAAATACCTAAATTATAAAAGCCACTGGGATATAAATGCCATGAGAAAAATCCCAAAGAATGAAAAGGAATAAGAATGGTGTGCCACTTTGTCACTATTGTTTTTAAGAGAAAAATAAAATATTATTATATATACAGTTGAATTAAATTGTGGTTTCAGTTAGTTATAAGATAAACGCTTATTGAACCCAACACAACTTATTTTAATTGTAACAAAAATGAAAGAGTTTAAAACTGGCACATTAGGTTTTTGGTATTATGTAATTGATTTTTAAAGTATAAGCATACAAGTTCAGTGCATGATATGTATAGACTATGTATCAACATGTTCCTTAGGAAAAAAACATATAATATTAATATCATCACTACTAAAGCCACATTTTTATATAAGTATCTACAATGTAATGTCTGACTTAGGTACCAGGTAGGATACAAAGAAGGTTCAGATAGAAATCTCCTCCTATAGGAGTTTACAATTTAGAGAATTATACCTTAGCTGTAATAAATCCAAAGCAAAAGTAAATCCATAAAGCCAAACAACAGATCAGATTTGTCATGTGCTAATGTTAATTCTCAATTATTAACAGATTCTTAACAGATTCTTCTAACTAGTGATCAATATAAAGATACAAAACTCTGAACTGACATAAAACAGAGCCAGTAGGTAAAATATGAGTGAGTATAAGATATTTTTGAAAAAATAAACTTACTATATTTCAAAATGGATAAGTTGGATTCTCATTAAGGCATCAGGAAAAAAAAAAAATCTAGAGCTTACCATGGCTATAAAAGTGTTCAAAGGTTGAGCCCCCCTTTGAAATCCTCCCCACACTGAGGATTTAGATGAAATTTGCGGAATTGGAAATAAATACATAACAATACTCTAAATAAAAATACTCTACATCCTGACCAATTTTTATATCTCAGCAAACTTCAAATGTAATATAAAATTCAGTGACTGTCATGCTGACAAGTTATTCAGACATATAATAAAGGAAAATAGCTTTGATTTGTAGCTTTAATTTGAAGATTCTATTATCTTCTGTAAATTGTTAACTACAATTTTAGTTAATTTTGATAGAGAATGCCAAGTTGAATTACTATATTCAAAAGGTTTATTTGATTTTCTTAAAAAAGTATAAATGTTTTATATACACAGAAAATATTACATATATATGCTTATAAACATATAGTGTCACATACATGGTACATAATATGTTTTTATTGAATCGAAAAAGTATAGGAAGTTTATGTCATTTACATCATTCTGGATTTTTTTTTATTATAATGCCCACTTAAAAGGTTAAAAAATTCTTATTTCTCTGGATATTGGAAAATTTGACTTTTTGGAAGCTCCTTGTAAGAAGTAAGAAATAAAGCTATCATGATATTAAACAGAATTATAGAATCTATAATAAAAAAATTACTTCTAAGCCATTACATTTTATTCTGAAGTCCCAGTGACCATTCCCATTTTCTCCTATGTGTGTGAGAAATAACTGATGTTTAGCAATTGAGTTTATTTTTATTACTGAACTCAAGTCAAAGTCTCAGCTTGGGTCAAGTTCTCAAAGATGGGCAGATTTAATATATGTGTCACCATCTTGATATTGCCAAACTTCAGATGAAAGTGATGGTTGGTGAGTCTGTGAATTGAGGACAAACCCTGTGTTAATGTTGATACGGCATTCAAAAACTCATTTATTTTTGTTCTAAGTTGCAATTCATTTTGCTAGGCTGACATTAATTTTTACAATTGCCTCTTTTTCTCCAGTTTATCCAGTCATTATTTTAGTCACTGAACTGGTGTGTTATTGTATTTATTATTTAAAAAAATAGAACGTGAAAATTTATGTATGTCTTTTATTTTTCTTTGATAAGTTTATGAAACAAATATCTAAAATTATTTTAGGTAAAAAGCCTAGTTCCTTTAAGTAAAAAAAAAAAAAACGTTAAGTTGTATGCTCCCATTAATGAATAGTTTTTGAAGATCAAACAAGCCAGAATCAATTTTACACATATCAGGTGATATGTCCAGAGTTTGCATTTAAAAATGAATTTGCAATTGTCTTTTGTCTCTATTTCCTAATTCATTTTTAGGGCTTTAAAGATCTGTTGTAACAGGACTCTTGTTACATTTAATAAGTGCCACGTTGATTGGCGTTCTCTAAGTAGGCTTTTCAGTTTGCCTGTGGGGAAATTTAATATAAAAACATTCAACATTCTTTTATTAGTGTTTTTTACTATTCCCAGTCCCATCAGACCTTTGGTGCAAGCAGTGTATTATTGAAAAGCTTATCTGTAAGAAGTGAGCCAAGGGGAAATTCAGCCTTTATTAATATTGACATCATGTTCCCACACAATGGCTGTCTAAAGAAACTTTTCAATTGGATTTCAACTGCTTTGATGCAATATAAATGGAAACAACTGAATGCATGGTTTAACACAGAATAGTGAATGATGCTGTATCCTCCAAACCCAAACAAAGTTGGAGTTTAGAGGTATTTCAGGACCATATCGAGTATCTTAAATTTATAATGATTTGCAGAATGTTATGTTAACTTGGTAGGTCCTAGAATAGATACATTTTCTTAGGGCCTCTCCCCTCCCCACCATTGCTATTTTAAAAGAGGAGACCAATTGAGATATTTTCAAGATAGAAGTTATATTTAAGTACCAAGATAAGATTTCAGTAAAGAAATGTTATGTTTGAGGATACATTAAGCTAAGATTATTATTTCTATATATATTGCTATACAGTGTCAACATCCAGAAAAGATTATAGAGACAACTCAAACCAATTTATTGAAAACTTAGTTGTAGTTATTCTACTTTCTTCTACGACAGCAAGAAAAAGCTCAGTGAGTTAGGTTGCTTTTTACAAAAACCTAGAGTGCAGATCGAAATCATCCAGGTGAACAAGAAATACATATTTGTCAGCTTCACCATGGAACTAGACTGTAAAGATATAACTATTAGCGCAAGCAGTAAACTAACACTCAAGTAAAAGGAAATAAAATCTGCACAATTAGAAAAAGTAGTTGACAGTTTGCTTAGAACCCTAAATGTAATTTATTGGAGAATACATTCTTGACTCAATGAATACTATCACTTTTTTGGTTAAACAGTCCAAATTTGACATCCAGAACATTTCTTTAAAGTCACCATTTTCCTGGAAACACTCTAATTTTGAGATGTCTAGGGCTATATTTAGCTTTTGAACAGTAGTCTTTGAAAAAATATGGTTATGAAACAGATTGATTTAGAGGAGCATTATAATTAGCTGCCGAATACGTTAGAAGGATAGATTATTCTACATGAATCACAGAGCTCACTTTAAGTGTCATTCCCCATTCTAAACTGCCAGCTTAATTTCTTCTCATTTTTCACCACGAGAGCCTTTTTTCTATTATGCCAATAATAAAGGGTTAGTTGTCATGAAATAGGCATACCTTTGTGAAATAATGAATTATAAACTGTTTTGTTTCCATTTTTAAAATAACTGAGTCATGACTACTTGATTTGACAATAACCAGAAAAAAACATCCAGAAAACAACCTTATTTAAAAAATATATGCCCGGATTTAGTAGCTTTATGAGCCTCTGCAAAACATTTTTAGACAAATAGAGAAAAATCTATAACATAGAATAGCATAAAATGATCATAAGTATGGTTGGCCAAATGATATATTTTGGAATGTAAGAAAATTGTTATGTAAAGAACAACTGAGACAATACTGATGATCAATATTTAAGAAAAAATTTAAGATGATACATATAAATTAAAACGTGCTTTAAAAAATAATTCTAGAAATTGATGATTTGACAATAAATATGAAAATGCTATTAATCTTCAAAACCCATTTAAAATTTATCAGTTAAAAATAATAGCATTATCCTAGGTGAATTTTATGGAAGAATCTGCATTATACAATCTTGGAACAGTCTTAGTAAGAATTGTGTAAAACATTATAACCTTGACGTTTATCACAGGTGTAAGATTTAAAAAATTGAATAAACACTTAAAACGTGCTATTACTCCGAACATATGTCATTCTGCTAGATGCATAATGAATGTTCAGTAAACAATAAGTTGAATACTAAAATACAAATAGCAGGTAAGCCCTTCATTATTCTTTAGAAATGCCTATTTCTTCCTATTTTTTTTTTTTTGCATTGCTTTCTATTTTCAAAAAAAAAGTTTCCAAAATTAATTACACTGGACCCAATGATAGAAAATAAAGTGATTTGTTTCTAAAATGATGATGTTCTAGAACCCAGACTGGCAAGCAATTAAAGAAGCAGCATTACTATAATAGAATCACTCTGGGCTGGGCTTTCGTGTTGCCCGGTATGTTGGAGAAAGAAGCAAGGGGAGAAAGAGTGCAGAAGAAATTCTGCATAGGTATGCACGAAAGCACAAGAACCTGTTGTGTTGCTGAAATGTAGGTACAGAGTGCTGGAGGTTGGGGAACCTGCCCTAACTCTCCTCTGAGAGCTCTTTCAAGACTTGTTATAACAGATTGCTGCATCCCATCCCAGAATTTCAGTAGATCTGGGTGCATCTAAGATTTTTTTCTTTTTCTTTCTACCAAGTTCTTCAGTGTTAATAATGTTGCTGGTTCAAGAAGCACAGTGTGAGAAGTATTGAATTAAAGAATGAGCCTGGTATGTATGTGAAAATATTTCTACCCTTATCAGATGGGGAACATTGTTTTCAGGGCTGTTAAAAAATAGTCGTGTTACTACGATATTAATGTTTCCCTGATTCTTGGAGTTACATGTCATATTTAAAGAAGAAAACAATCACTAGATATCACCTACCACATGGCCAAAATTCTCAGGGATAATTATACTGTTATATGGCAAACCTGTAGTTAGAGAAAACTGAGATAGATACAGTACCGCAGTTCTTGCGGGTGTCTGGATGTAGGTATATTCTTAGTTCAGCTCTGGAGCTGTATACAACCTTTTACCAATAATCATCAGAAAAATGCTTTATTCTCCAATTATTTGTACGACCATACGCCACTATGGAGAAATATCTCTGATTGTGGTTAAAAACTCTGCCATTTAAACACCCCCTTAAATTAACTGACATTCAGTATTCCCTTGCACAGGAGCAGTTCACAACTTTAGGAAAGTTTCTAGAATTTCTATGTCCTGTCTGCTCCTGCTGGGTGAGCCATTTGCCTATGCAGAGTCAGTTGTTTGTTCTTAAATCTGTTTTGCCAGTGGTAGTTATTATTGTAATAACGTAATTTTTTTTTTTTTTTTTTTTGAGATGGAGTCTTGCTTTGTCGCCCAGGCTGAAATGCAGTGGCATGATCTCGGCTCGGCTCACTGCAGCCTCTGCCTCCTGGGTTCAAGCGATTCTCCTGCCTCAGCCTCCTGAGTAGCTGGGATTACAGGGGCATGCCGCCATGCTTGGCTAACTTTTGTATTTTTAGTAAAGATGGGGTTTCAGCATATTGGCCAGGCTGGTCTTGAACTCCTGACCTCAGGTGATCCACCTGCCTCGATCTCCCAAAGTGCTCTAATTACAGGTGTGAGTCACTGCACCCAGCCCCTGTAATAATGTAATTTCATAAAATATTGAATGAAGATTTTTTAAATAAGTAAAAAATTACAAAACTTAATGAAAATAAGTTATTATTATGGTGTCAAATTAGATAGAGACAAGATAACTGTAAAAATGCAGAAAATAATGCAAATCTAGAAGTATTTTTGTAATTATTTTGCTTTGAAAATGATTTCAAATTGTGGCTTCACTGTAAGGAATTGCAGAGAATCCTGGAGAATGCATTTTAAGTATTTATGAAAGAAAGATTATGTTGGATTCTATTTGAGGTAGACCCATTTTTCAGAGAAAAAACTTTTGTCCTATAGCAAAAGATTAATGAATAAATACATACTTGGATTTAAGTTAAAATAAAATGGTCATGATAGGTCTGCTTTATCCTCATCCTCATCCTTCTCACTACCATCCTCTGCTTTAATTTACCATGACAAAGATTGCTCCTTTTCTAGCCAAGTAAGTTCTCACCTTCTTTCATAGTAATAGAGTTGTTGATGGCATGTCTTACTAGGAACCACGTTTGCTAGTTTTCCCAGCCTCTTGCAGTTAACTGTGGTTATGTGACTAAATTCTTATCAGTCGCAGTTGAGCATCAGTGATGGATGCCAATTCCAGACCTGGTCCTTAAAACATTGCTGAGTCAAAGCTGCGTCACAGCTTGCGATGGTGTTCTTCCTCCTCTATACCTGCCCCTTCACAAGATCAAGAGCACAGATGTGCCTGAGACACAGCTTTCCTGGATATTAGGGATACATCACTGGGGATAACAGAAAATGGAAGAAGCACGGGTTTCTGAATGACCACATGCAAAAAAGCCTTGCTGCATAAACAAAACCAAAACTAAAAACCACGTGGTTATTTCAGCAAGCAATGTTAGACGTTTTTGTTCTTGTTGCAGCAACTTAACTCTTAACCCTAATTCATTACCTTGTTTTTTAATTATAAAATTACTAAACGCTGCTCCTGAGTATGAAAGTGGATTTCTACCACACATTAAGAACTCTACAAAGGTGGCCTCTTATTTCAAGTGTATAAGGATTATGTTACATTATTAATTTCTCACCTTTTGTTACATTTTTGCAGTACACAAAGAGTCCTTCTCTTAACATACACTTTTTAAAGAAAATAAAATAAAAAGAAACATATATTCTTGTATATTCTTGTATACACTCAAATGGTGTAACAAAACACCAAAAACAATAAAAAACTGTTATTATAATTCATGAAAAAAATGTGGTTTACATATTAAATATTTTATTTAGGAATAATTGTCATCTGTCCATACAATTGATGCAAAATATATGTTTGTAATTAATAATACAATTAAAGTTCTTAATTATCTTTAAAGTTGTTAAAATTTTTTAAAGCTTAACATTAAAGTTTTTTTTATTTTTGGATAATGCTCGGACAAATCTGTTTTATGGGGTATCACATGCTTCAAGTGATTATATAATACACAAAGTTTATAGTATAATTAACTGCATTGAGAGAGCTTATGCAGAAAGACATTGCCAGAATCTCAAGTGGAAATCTGGTGATGT
This sequence comes from Homo sapiens, assembly GCF_000001405.40. Taxonomy (NCBI): domain Eukaryota; kingdom Metazoa; phylum Chordata; class Mammalia; order Primates; family Hominidae; genus Homo; species Homo sapiens. The sequence goes on from NC_000013.11 coordinate 71,965,625, forward strand.
GTTCTAGTGATGTTGAACATAAGAATAAAATGGTAGCTGTTATATATAAAATATTACAAAACTAGCTGTCTGAATGTGTGCTTTTCACTTTTCAACAAATTCATTAATCAAACAAAAGATTTTTATTTAACCACAGTAAATATCAAGGCACCAGGAACGGAAATGCAATATTTCTCAATAGTGATACCAAAATCCCTCTTAAGGAAAGAACTATCTTCGTTTAGAATGCCTTGCATATACAGCTGAAGGTATAGATGAGATTTTAAAGGGATATGTACAAGCAGGAGCTCTAGAAACAAAGGGAATATGTGTGGTAAACTCCTCTTCAGGAAATGAGATGAGGCTTTTGTTTTGCTTGGAGGAAGAACAGATAAGCAGAAGGATGAGCAAACACGGAAGAGGAGAGGAGGAAGAGGGAAGACTGAGACAATGTGCAGCAAGGCAGAGGAAGCAAAGAGGAAAAGGATGCAATTCTTCTGAAGTGAGTGGCCAAAGGACCTGTTCCAGAATATGGATGCCCAACATTTAATTTGAGGTTTTTGTTTTTGTTGGCATTTTGAGATGTAAGCCTCATCTCCATTTCTTCTTCCCTTCTTTCCAAAACCCAACACAACTTCTTTAACGTAACCTACTCTCACAAAGGCATGTGTTTGTGTACCTCTTACTGCTGTTTTCATTTTTGCTATTCTGCATTTGTGTGTGTGTTTGCAATTCAGGGAAGGGCTAATTTTCTGTAATTGAGTAAACTGGGTTTGGGGTAAATGTTATATACAAGTAATCTGGGATGGAGGGTGCAAACATCAAGGCAGGAATGTAATTTGTTAGGATTTTGCATCAATTTGGAGGAGAAATTGAATTTCCATGAACCATACATTTGGAGACTGGATCCAAAATTAAGTAGGTCTTAAAGAGAGTACTGGATGTAGTTCCTGCCCTCATGAAACTAGTGGAGAGATGACAAATGAAAATCAATGTGGCCAAGATACTTGCGGCTCAGTGAATATCCACGTATTCCTGCTTATTTCCAACCTCTCTTGTAATTTGGTATGGCTGTATGGCCAATTCTAGAAAATAGTCTATGAAAGAACATTTCAGTTAACATTTTCTGACCAAAGCATATAAAAGTCAGTGTGAAAATCTGTAGCTCTCTTCGCCATGAAAGCCACATGTTATGGAGAGTGTGGCTACCATGTCCAAGGTGTCTGAGTCCCTGAGCTATCATGTGAAAACAGTTGCCAAGGTATCTGAGTCCCTGAGCAGTCATGTAAAAACAGTTGCCCTAAAGAGTCACCAAGTCCACAGACGACTTAGCATAATGGAGAAATATAATACCATGTGTTACTTCACCACAATTTCAGGAGGAGCTTAGCTTAATACTATGATTAAGGGCAATACAGTGTTATGGACACTAAGATACAAATATGGATGGGGTATTTTGGAAGGCAAAGGAGGGGAATTAAATTTTATTGGTGGAAAGCAATGTCAGAAAAAAGCATCTTGCAATTTAACTTTTAAGGAAGCAACAAAGTAAACATCAGAGAGTAATGAACAGAAAATTGGATTAAAAAGAGAAAAATACCTAATGCATGCGGGGTTTAAAACCTAGATGACGGGTTGATAGGTACAGCAAACCACCATGGCACATGTATACCTATGTAACAAGCCTGCATGTTCTACACATGTATCCCAGAACTTAAAGTAAAATAAATAAATAAATAAAATAAAAATTAAACAAAAAAGAAGAAGAGAAAAAAATGTTTCTGAAGACCTTAAGCAGAGTTTACAGGAGACAAAAGTTGCTTTTGCTTCCATCTTACCAAAGTCACAAAGGCTAGAAGGTGGTCTACAGGATGGAGAAAAGGTAGTAATTATTTTCCAGGGTACCCCCAGCTCAGTATTGATAAAACCAAGGGAAAAAAAAGTGTAAGTGTTTCCAAACCCTCCCATCAGATTTCTTTCATGTCCTGAAAGTATCCAGATCCACCATATGTGTATTATTTTACAAATTAATACACAAGTTTGGATTTAGTCAATCAACTATATGTTGGTTTATATTTTAAGTCTATAATTACATATATATATATATGTTCTATATTCACACATTTGAGTATATATGTAAAGTATTTATTATGATATTTAGAGGAAGTGTGGTATAATGTTGAGAACATAAATCAGAGTCTGGAGACCTGGGATTTCTTTCACATTCCATCCCTAATTCACTTAGTGATTTGAGCAAAGCAGGTATTTCATCTCTTTGAGCTCAAATTTCTTGTTCTTTAAAACACTTTAACTTTACAGATTACTTCCTAATGATTCCATTCTACATTCTGCCTGTGGAAAAATGGCCACGGTGCAAGTTATTTTGTTTTCTGAACCTTACTGTCGCTTTTACTCTTAAGACAATGTCAGAGGTATTGAGGGAATAAAAAAAAAATATGGTTTCTTTGTCTTGCTCGTAAGACAATAGGTTTTCATCATTTTTTTCCTGACAGTGGAGAGTAAAGCTATAAAGAATGTATTACAGAAAACATGATGAGCACGCTATATAAGAATTTGGTAATGCCCTTCCTGTCTCTGGCTTTGTTTCCTGCTTTTCGCCATTCCTTTCACAGTTGGAGTTGCAGAAGACACAATGGCCGGAGGCTTTCTTAGTACCCCAAGCCACTGTTCATGCTTTTCCTTCTGACTGGCCTTCTTCTTGCTTCTGGTTCATTCTTCAAATCCAAGCTCCAATATTACCTTCTCTCTGTGGATGCTATCCCTGTACAGATTTAGTCATTTTCTTTCTATGCTAGCTGTATAATTTGAACACAGTTCCATTATTTGTTTCCCTGCTTGTCTTCTTTCTCTCCTGTCATCCTTGAATACAATTAAATACAAATAATAGAGTTCTACTATAAAAAAGAAGCTGTACTGTTTAATATTATCACATATAGGTATTCTAGTTACTTCTCCCAAAACACTTTTCCTCAAACTCCATGATTTGATAGGTATTTTAATTCCATTACTCATGAATATAGACATCACAACTTTGTCAAACAGTGACATAGATTTTGTGTTATCAATTCTGCCAAAATTGCACCCCAATCTTTATTTATTTATTATAAAATAAATTTTGTCATCCAGAAACATATATATTGTGAACTTACTTTTTCATGTAAGAAATAAAGACTTTTTGAAATAAAGTGATGATTTGTTTAAAGTAGAAATAAATTGTAACTTTTTGCATCTTACACTGAATATTGGACTTGAAGTTTTTGTTCTTGATAAGGCTCCTGAAAAAAAGGAGTAATTATGGGAGCTAATATAGCTCATCATATTGGCTGTTTGTTAGTTTGCAGGAAGAAGACTTGGTGCCTTCTATTCATCAATGACTTGTGTTGTAACTTTAAATGCACTATTTTATTTCGTCATATGAAACCGATGAGTGAGACACTATCTTATCCCAAATGATAAAACTGATTCAGTCAAAGCTGATGACTTACTCAAATTATTTGGTAATGTAGCAGGTCTTTAGTTTGAAGCAAGTGTTTTTAGTCTTCATTTCTTCATCTGTACCTTTTCCATAGGGCTGTGAAAATTAAATGAGTTAGAATACGGAACACTCTTAGAATAATATTCGGCATTAATAAGTGCTTTGTTTAAGCATTGGTGATAATTGCTGTTCTTATTGTTGCCTAACTCCAAAGACGGTGCTTTATTTTCTAAATAAAGGCAACCTGGATATCGATTGGTAGAAGCTTGAAACACGGTGTCTCCAATGTGTACCTTTAAGGTGTTAATATGCACCTCTCTATAACCTAGGAATACCCCCAAGATGGAGTGTGTTGCTCTAAGTGCAGCAGAAGGGACACAGGGGAAGGAAAGGAAGATGATGTGGAGCCTTTAGTAAATCTATAGTTTTGTAACATATAAAAGACTAAAGAACCTTTCATAATAGGAAAAATTTATATGAGCTGCCATGGGCTTTTTAAATTTTTTTAAAAAGCAAACTAGCAACCAATCACTCAATTTTCAGGGGAGGTGAAAACGTTCTAATTTCCTTTTGAATTATTTCTCTCTCACTGGACACACTCTTGTGAGATCTTGCCAAAGTGTAAGCTCTCCTTCTTACCGGGTGGGTGACCAGACCTAGGCAAGTTGGTCCTTGGAATATAATCCTGTCACAGGAACATAATTATTGACAATGTTTAAAGCTCACTCAAGGAGGTGTGATATGGTGTCTTCTAGAAATCCTTCCACCAAGTCTTTTGGGTTTTTCCAGCTTTTAAATTTACTCTTCCTTTTGATTCTATGATTTTCCCTATAGCCTTCCCATGAGTTTCCTTTTTGCGTACATTACATTAACCAGAGTCAGTTTCTATTGCCTGCAACCAAAGTACCCTAACAGCATAATGGAATGGAATAAAATGGACCTCAGTGTCAATGTCTGTGCTTTGACTCTGGCTCTGCCACTATAAGCTGTGTGGCCTCAAGCAGTCAATTAATCTACCTAAGCCTCAATGTACTTATCTGCAAATGAAAATAAAAATATTAAACTTTCTAAGATTGCTTCTCTGCTTAAATTAAATAATATATTTAAAGCACCTATTATGGTATTTGACAGAATACACTTAATAAATGATAACTATTATTAGAAACACAAGAAAGAAAGAGGAAATTAATTTTCTTCTTCTACCCCTTCTCTATAACCTGATTTCAGAATCAAACTTGCTGTTGCTAAAGAGAAAGTGGCTGCAGTTTCCTTCTGACCTGGCTGCGTATTTCTTCATCACTGCCTGTCCTTCATTGAGCTAAAGGAATCAGTGTCACACAAAATCATTCTGCCTTCCAAAGGTTTGGACTCTTAAAGAAGACCATACTGGTGATTGTTATTTTTATATTTGATTTTTGTTTTAAGGCAGTTTTTTTAAAGGCATTGCCAGTAAGTCACATTGTCTAGTTATCCAAAGCCCAAGCCAATTAGCAAGTGAAAAGAATGTTCTGAACCTAATGATCTCTAAGTTGCTTCTTTATATTAACTCTTTAATTCTATATATGAAAATTAGTTCTTATCTTATAAAATGTCATTCCTTCTTTCATTCTCTTAGATTCTCAATCATTTTGATTTGGGGAAAGAATTAGGGAAATTTTCTTGAAGTGACAGATATTTTTAATGAGTTATGAGACTTTGAACAATAGACGTTATTCTAGAGCAGAAAAGTCTTTAAATTCAAGCCTTTTTGCCTGCAGTTCAAAGTTCTTTGTAGTAAAAGACTAATATATATATAATAGTATAGTGTTTACCGTCCAGAATTAGGCTTTTTTTCATGATGTTTTCATGAATCTGTAGAGCATGGACATGACTGTGTCCATCAATATTTGCTATGAATTCCTTTTGTGAAAATGCAACTTTATCTGTATACCTAGGTTAGAATGACCTACACAAAAAAGAAGTAAGTCCACAGAAGGGCAGTGAGGGGACAGAAATGAGAAGTGGTGTCTTTTTGTTTAAGCCTAGACTGAAATTTTGTATCAGGGCACTGATTGGTTGGCTTATATCTTAACCACGCTACTCCACGACAAAAATTCCAGTTCCTTTAACTTATACTTAAATGTTTCATTCATTTCTGATTTTCTTTACATTTGAAGATCTTTAAAATCTAAAATGAATATTCTTTATTACTTTAAACATACCTTCTGTATTCTGTTATGAAAGAGAATAATAAAAATTATGTCAGATTTTGAAAACAACATGCATCTTAAAGTTTAATGTCAACTATTTGTTAAATATCATACTATATAAAATATTAATGATTATTTTAAATGTTTGAATTTATATTAGAATAATGATGAGAATAAAGAGCTTTGGCAAAAACCAGTTAGATCCGAGAAAATTTTAGTAACGTTTAAAATAATATAAAAATATAGAGAGCTTATAAATCAAGTTAGATATCCAAAACCTGGTACTGACTGTAAAGGAAATCTCATTCTAAACAATGCAGCCAACATAGAGAAAAGACACATGAAAAGAAAGGAAATTACTGAAGCTATTACACACACAACACACTCAGATAGGAGTCCAGCTGCTGAAGGAAGCTGTTGGTTCTTGATCTATGGAAGTTCCTAATTAGAATACAAGTTAGAAATATAACAGAAAACATAAAAAAGAAAGAAATTTACTGTAAGACTAAGGTTTTGTTTTGCTTCTTTAAATGTTAGCAAAAACAGACTTAGAGAAGCCTGGCTAAATAAGTAATAAATAATTTTTATAACTACTGACTTTTGATACCAATTATACTTTATCAAAGTTTCCAATATTCCATCACATATTTATCCCTGCTTTCAGATAGGCATGTCTACCAATAGCTTGTGAACTGTATGCTGCATTTTAAAGCTGCTGTATATGAATCAAATGGTGTGCACTTAGGATGCATTTATATATTCCTTAAAAAGCAGATTTTTCTTCCATTTGGCTCTCACTACATACTTCTCCAAAGGTTTTTGCAATAGATGAGCTTTTATAGGATTATAAATCATAGTATGCTAAAAGAAATGCTATAGAAATTGAATACATGGTACAATATTTTGCACAGTGATAATCACCTATAGCCCCAAAGCATATAAATATATGATTTTTATTTTTATTTTAGGAACCCTAATAAATATGTGCCCACATATTCTGTTATTTATGGCATTTCAAATTACTCCTTTACAGGTTTGTGGGACTAATGTGACCTTCCCAAGGTCTATGCTAGCAAAAAGAAAAGATCCAAAGCAATTACCCAGAAAATTTAAATATATATATATCTCAAGCTCTACTTCCATGAAATTGTCTAGATGTTTCAGGCAAATCATGTTTAGGTCCAAATTTAAACAGATTATTGCTTTCCTTCTCCATTTCATTGCTAGTGAACTTTATTTTTCAAGGTTGATCAGTATGCAAGACAAAGTATTCTCTGATTGATCAGTATGCAGGGTTGGATTACTCTAGAGAACATTTGGACATTTTGACTATGTCCTGTGGATTTACCTGCAGAGTATGCATTTTGGAGGGCAGGTACTGAGGGAGGAAACAAAAATGACTTAATGGTCTTGCACTGTGGAAGTGTGATCAACTCCCTGAGTGGAGGTTGAACCATCTTATGGAATCACTCACCATATGACAATGATCCTACAGCTCTTTGGAAAATAAATGTACCTCATTGTCAAGATGGATTAAACAATAAAACTGATTAAACAAAAGTAGTGGCATTCATTTTGAGTTTTAAATTATACAATCATACTGATATTTATTCAGATATATTGATTTCCTCGTGGCAGTAGTTGTTCAATGTTTGTGTGATATTTTTAGGACTGAAAGTATATGGGCATCTACTACATTATATTTCATGACAATGACTTTAGACTTTCTGTTGTAAGTAGTGAGAGTTTTTATTCACAAGATTTTTGTCACTACATTACCTGTTGGTCTTATTACATGAGAGGGCACTTGAGAATCTCTGCAGAATATTTAAGGGATTCTCTGGGCATAATTTTAAGAAATCATCGGGTACAAAACAAAGGAAAGATGAAAGGAAGGTGGAAAGGAAGGATTTCTTCATCAGTAATTCAATGTAGCTTCCAAAAATTAAGTGAAAGTCAAGTATTCTAAATTCTAGGTTGAACCTTTTAAAAAAACCTTTGAAACATTCTTGACTTTTTGCTTTTTCTTTGGATTAGCTTAAATCTTTGAAATTGGATAACGTCAAGGACGTTTCCAAATCAGGGGAAAAAAGATGTTTAATAGGTAAAGAAAAATTTTGAAATATGTGTTTTATTATCTCATGGAAGAACAAATTGTGATATGTTAACACAGAAAATGCAACCATGAAATCTTACAAATAGCAAATGGATATAAGAGGGCTGTATGCAAGAAATCTGGAGAAGCATGTAGAAGTGAATATTAAAGGGCTTATAAATTTGCATTGTGAGACAAATGCACAAAATAGAGGGCTCTTTTCTGTCAAAATGTCATTGATTTGATTAAAATAGTTTCAATTAACAATTATTGAAACCTTACAGGTGAAATACCCAATTGTAGAAAGGTGTAAGATAAACAACTTATTTTTCTAGGCTACTAGTATGTGCTAAAAAATTAGATTGTCTTAATTATAACCATGACAAAAATTATTTATCTGACTCCAGCCTCCACTTCTATTGTAGAAAAAAAACCCTTTCAAAAGCATATATATTATCTAAAGAAAGGCTGACACATTAACCCACCCTTAACATCCACTAATGCATTGACATTTGTTTTATCATATTAATTTCCATCATGGATGCTGGGCAATGAATGATAAGAGTCCACTAAAAACATATTAATATGGAAGATAGAAAAGATGTTGAAAGGGGTTCTAGATTAAAATGCTAGAAAAATGTTTGTTACTTAAAATTTGACATTTTGGCTGACTTTTCCACCCTTGCATAAACTCTAAGACTAAGATCATAATTTCTTCATTAGATTATGCTAGTTTAGCAGAGCAGAGAGTTGATCAAGTTATTTTAAGTGGTAGAGGTGTTTATTGTCTGGATGCCTTTTGGAATAAAAAAATCAAGGTCTTTAGCCAAGTAGGTCTTATAAAAACAAACAAACTAGGAAAATGAACCAAGCAGATCTTAGTGGCAGCTGGAACTACAATAGAGTCGAGCTTCAATGATGTAAGAATTGATGCTGATGATGATGCTGGTGGGGCTGGAGGTATTAGTAAAAACCTCACATCCCCTCTGGGATCCTAGCAGCAGGAGAGCTTGGCCCCTGAAATCTTGCTGGTGGGATTCAGTTCTCCCTCTTGGCTACTCTTTGGATTTTGGTTGCCTTTTCCCACTATAGTGCCCTCTGTTAATGCCTCTGAGCATCTGCCTGCTCTTATATTCTGCTTCCTCAGGTTTGGCTCAGTTGTGATCACACCCCTCATCACAGCTCCTTTACATAATAAACTCAGTTAGTATATCTTTTTAGCTACCTCTCCTGTTACTAGTGCCTTGATACTCTGACCTTTGAAACTCCTATCCATTAAGTCAGAATCTCCATTTCTTTCTTGGTGGAACAATCCATGATAAGTGGCCATCCAGTCAGAACTATTTCCATTAGATCAAGTTTTGGCCAGGCAGGTATCACAACTAGCACATGAGTGTTAAAACTATTAGGAAAGCAGTTGTTTATTTTTTCAAATATGATTCCTAAAAAAAAAAAAATCCCTTAAATCCCTGATAGTAGGCATAAAAGTCACTTTTATTAATAGATGAATTTTCAATTTATTATCTTATTATTATTTTTTAAATAAATTTTAATTTTAAATTTTTGTGGGTACATAGTAGATGTATATACTTATGGGGTACATGAGAAGTTTTGACACAGGCATCCAATGCATAATAATAACATCATGGAGAATGGGGTATCCATACCCTCAAGCATTTGTCCTTTGTGTTACACACAATCCAATTATACTTTTAGTAATTTTAAAATGTACATTTGAATTATTGACTATAGTCATCTTGTTGTGCTATCGAATATTAGGTCTCATTCATTCTTCCTATTTTTGTCTACCCATTAGCCATCCCAAACCTCCCCCTCATCTCCCACTACCCTTCCCAGCCTCTGGTAATGATACTTCTACTCTCTATGTCTATGAGTTCAATTGTTTTTATTTTTAGATCCCACACATAAGTGAGAACATGTGATGTCTGTCTTACTGTGCCTGGCTTATTTCACTTAACATAATAACCTCCAGTTCCATCCATGTTGTTGCAAATGACGGGATATCATTCTTTTTTTATGGCTGAATAGTATTCCATTGTGTGTATGTACATTTTCCTTATCCATTCATCTTTTGATGGATATTTAGTTTGCTTCCAAATCTTGGCTATTGTGAACAGCACTGCAACAAACATGAGAGTGCACATGTCTCTTCAATATCCTGATTTCCTATCTTTTGGGTATACACCTTCCAGTGTGATTTCTAGATTATATGGCAGCTCCATTTATAGTGTTTTTGAGGAACCTCCAAACTGTTCTCCATGGTGGCTGTACTAATTTACATTCCCACCAATGGTGTACAAGAGTTCCCTTTTCTCCACATCCTCGCCAGCATTTGTATGAAACCCTTAAAAGTTAAAATCATGGTCCCTGAGAACTCACAGACATATTTAGTGACACTGAAAATATAATAGGATTAGCAGTTCATAGGAAGCAGGGAAGTTTATCTCTAATCCCAGATAAAATTGTCTTTACCTTCAAAAAGCCTAAGCTGACTTGTGGTTTTACCTGAGACATGTAAAGATCTTGGAAGTCATCACTTTCACCCTTACATGAAAACATGAACAAACGGAAAATCAATGGCTATTCTTTCACCCTTCGGAGTGCTGAGGTAGCAGGGTAAACTGACTGGTGCCTTCATATCTAGGGAGACAGGTAAATCCCGAAAGATACAGCAATTGAGATCTGCTGACCTGTAGTGAAAACTGCTGGAACCATAAACTGGTAGAAACACTTATAGCGATTTTGGCAAAAAAAAGTTGGGACTGACTTTATAATTTTTCCCATTCACATGGGTGAAGGAGAGTTTCAGTGCAAAACAATGAAATTCCTCTAGTACAGACTTACAAAGAGAGAATTTCTTCTCAGGATAACAGGCAACAAACAACAGACATTGTCCAATGTGACACTGGCATTAACAGTATTGCCCAAACTTGAGAAGTATTGTATTAGAGCTATAGTAGTTAGAGCTACATAAATACCTTAAATGAATACTCTGAACCTAAAATGAAACTTTTTAATAATCACAGTCAGAGCAAACAATAATATTTTTAAGTGGGAATAAACAGCTGAACATATGAAAACAAGTATTGTGTAGAATTGTAAATGGAACATGGAACAATGTAAGATAGGAGAGATGAGAAGGTGATAGAGACCCAGAAAAAATTAAGCAAGAGGAAAGGGACATTTTCCATAGGTATAACATTATCATAATTTCCTATATTAGAAGTGACTGTCAAAATTCTACTATGCACTATTTATCATTGGTTACATAACTAGTTCAACATTGGGGAATTTCTATTTTCAATACATAGGGGGGAAGGTCAGTCTTTTTCAATTTGAGTGAATATATTGATTTAGATAAGCTTTACATTATAGAATAATTTCAGGATGTGCTGCAAATATATTTATTAGTTAAGAAATTATTTATTCTGATCCTTTTATGGGTTAGGGACCTCATGAGACATTGAAGGAACAAAAATGAGTAAAGCACAATGTCTGTCTTCGAAGTACTCATAAGCTATGGAGGATATTTAGTATTATAATTCTTTTGGTTGTAAGTGAAACAGAAAAAAGAAATCTTAGACCCAAACTTGCTTAGCAAAAGGGAAATTTGGGGCATAAATATTATTGAGCAGATACTCTAATATCTCGTGCTATCTGTTTCTGAACTAAAGCAATGTCACCGACACGAAGGAGTGGGTAATGCTGTTTCCTCAAGTGGCATCCACATTCAGGCTCCACATGAGGATCCTCTGACAGCTTCAGACTCTCTCACCGAGACTACAGCAGTTCCAAATATCACGTCTTCTCACCATCAAGCTGAGCAGAAGAAGTGACGTCAACATTCTGTAATTCCCAGCAAAAGTGCTGAGATTCTCTTCAATTAGTCCATCCATAAACCATTACTGTTTTCAGAGGGGTGCCAGGTACAGGTGCTTGGGTTTCCTGGTCATCCCTGATGAAAACGATGGGACCAAGTTATCCCAGAGATGAGGAAGATAGGATAAGCTGATTGTCTCAAGCTGATCAGGGCCCATCCCCTAGGCCTGAGGGTGAGCTATATTTCATTCTAAACTTCTGATGGAGGTATATTTCACTCCAAACTTCAGGGTCTCATTTGGAAAGGGAGAGATGGAATACACAAAAGCTTACTCCGGAGATTACGAATAGAAGACTGAAAATGTAATTTATTCAGCACTGCATAGTAGGAATTTAAACAAAATATTTACTATGGTAAATATAAGTGTATCTGCTATGGTAGGGAAGAAAAGAGGCATCATCCCACCTGATTACATCAGTGAAGACATCTTGAGATGAGAATTAATAGATAGGAATATATTAGGTGAATAAAGGTTTGGAATGGGAGAGCATTCCAGAAAGAGAAGGCAGCATGAACAAAGGCATAGACCCAAATGAGGAATAGCAAATTGTGGCAGGGAAATGGTAAGTCGTTTCATGACATTAAAAAAATAAAATTAGAGCTGGGAGTGGGCACTGATGAAGCTGGAGATGTTTAAAATTGCCAGATTATTGTAGGCAATGTCATGGCAAGAACAATTAATCCTGTGGTGTTAGAGAGCCAACAAAAATTTTTGTTAGGACGGTATCAGGCTTGATTTTTTAATTAGATAATTCTGTGTACAGTATAAAAAATGGCTTTAAAATGATGATGAATAATGTCAGGGTTCTGATCATACCACCCTGAACATGCCTGATCTAATCTGAGCTCAGGAGCTAAGCAGGGGCAGGCCTGAGTAGGACGTGGATGGGAGATTGCCTTGGAATCTGGAGTGCTGCAAGCTTTAAAAAAATAATAATAGAAGAAATGTCTGGAAGATGGTGGATTAGAGGCTTTTAGCATTCCTCAGCCATTTGGAAATTGCAAAATCATGCTTAAAGTGTGAGCTCTAATTCAAGAAGGAAAATGGGAATCCATTGGAATAGCAAAGGACATCCCAGATCCTTGGGAGGAGAAAGTGAGCAAACAGCCTCCGTGACGGCATCTGGTTGATAAAAGTGAGTCAAGCCCCAGTACATAAGAGGGGTAGACAGTCTCCCCACTGTGACTCATTTGTATGTCTTCTTTTGAGAAGTGTCTGTTTATGTCCTTTGATAATTTCTAATCCAGACAGAAGTGTCTGTTCATGTCCCTTGCCCACTTTCTAGTGCAGCTCATTTTTTTCTTGTTGATTTGTTTAAATTCCTACTATGCAGGCATTTTATTCTTGGGTCAGAGATTGGAGCGCTTATTCTGGAGTGGAGAAAGGGCCTCCACAGCCAGAATTGAGCAATGAGTGTTGAAAGCACCCAGCAGTAGGTGCTGGAATTATACTCTCCCCCTTCACGGGTCCAGAGTAGGAGGAGAAATGCCACAGCAGTGGTTTCTCCTGGGCAAAAAGACTTGCAGCCAGGACCAGCCTGGCGACCTGGAAGCAGCCTGTGTGTGTCATTGCTGGGTGCCCCAGCCTGCTCTCCTGAGATTGTGGTGCAGTGGAGCCCCCTCTGTTCCATACTCAGGCAGACCTCCAGGCATTCAGAGCATCCATTCCTCTGGATTAGGAGATTAGGTCACCTCCAGAGGCCCCCATGCAGAGAATTTGGGGCTAAGGATGTTTCCCAGCTCCATGCCTAGGCACCCTCTGGGCACTTGCTGGCTGCCCCATCTCCCCCCTCCACAGATCTGATGTCTGTGTCTGCAATTGGGTGACTTGTAGGGCTGCCTGCCCAGTCTGGCCCCACCCATCTTGGTCTCCCAGGGCTGAGCAGTGAGATCAGACCACTGTGCACTCCATGGATTAGCCCATTGTATGAGGTGACAGAGATCTCTCAGTAAACAAGAGTCAAGTATATACCACCTGTATTGGCTATAGCTGGCTCTTACTCATAAGAGTCATTTACTGGTCTAGAGGTTGAACAGCAGTACAAAACAATAGGAAATCTGACACAAGTGCATTAACATTGGGGAATAAGATAATATTCCTGAGACTGCTGCCACCTGGGACCCACAGGACACTGTGATTCTGCTCAAATGCCTAGTACATCACTACCACAACTAGCATTTGGGTAAGCCACCATATAAGGGCTATACATAATCAAGGAACTTACACAGACTCTTTCCCTCTGAAAATACCCGAAACCAGAGATCTAACCCTCAGCATGATCTGCCTCTAATGGAGGGGGGTGCATAGCTCACCAGTCTGTCTTGGATCAAAGGAAACATGGGAGTGGCACAAGCTCCTGGAGGAAGCACCATTATAGTCTAGTAATAGATGTGGAGAGAAAACCATCTCTCGTCTCCTGCCCCCAACCTCAGTGCACTGTTGTGGACTCAGCGGCAGCTCTTCCCATTAGGGTGGGGGAGCTCCACCCCCACTAAAGGCAAATATGCATGGGGCCGGGGAGGGCACTTTTCATGCTTCTCTCTTACCTCTGCTCCTGCTCCTACCTGCTAGCTGTTACTCTTAAGTGCCACCTACTGGACCACAGCTTGAACTATATCCTGAAACAAAATTATATCACTACAACATGCTATGTCTGAAAAGCCACTGCACAAAACTATCTGCAACCAAGGAACCCCCACAGGGCCTTGGCACCTTGAAAGCACACAGAATTGAAGCCAATAAATGATATACAATGTACACCACAGTCACACACCAAGGGAAAAAAGAATAAAAATAGAAAAGCCCTATACAAATGATAGCAAATTCAAATAAAAAAGGAAGCATCAGCTAGCTCTCTCAGATGAGAAGGAACCAGCATAAGGACTCTGGCAATACAAAAATCCAGAGTGTTTCATCATCTCCATGGATCTCACAAGCTCTCAAACAATGGATCACAACTTGAATGAAATGTCTGAAATGACAGATATAGAATTCACAATATGAATGGCAAAAAGATGCAATGAGATCCAATAGAAAGTTGAAATCCAATACGAAGGAAACAGAAAAAATGATCCAAGATTTAAAAGATGATATAGCTATATTAAGAAAGAACCAAACAGAACTTCTGGAATTGAAAAATTCACTACAGGAATTTCAAAATACACTTGGAAGCCTTAACAAAATACTAAACCACGCAGAAGAAAGAATTTCAGGGCTCAAAGACTAGTCCTTTGAATCAACCCAATCAGACAAAAATAAGAAAAGAGAATTAAAAAAAATGAAAAAACCCTTTGAGAAACATGGGATGTAAAGCGACCAAATATATGACTTATTGGTATTCCTGAGTAAAGAGAAAGTAAGCAACTTGGAAAACATGTATGAGAATACAATTCAGGAAAATGTCCCCAAGAGGTCTGCATGCAGATGCAAAAAATCCAGATAACTTCTGTAAGATACCATACAAGACTACATCTCTAAGGCACATAGTCATTAGTCTATCGAAGGTCAACATAAAAGAAAAAATCTTCAAGGCAGCTAGAGAAAAGGATCATATTACCTATAGAGGGAAACCCATCAGACTAATAGTGACTCCTCAGCAGAAAACTTACAAGCCAGAAAAGATGGGGGTCCATTTTTAGCATTCTTTTTTTCTAAATTTTTTTAAATTTTTAGTTCTGGGGTACATGTGCAGGATATGCAGGTTTGTTACATAGGTAAACATGTGCCATTGTGGTTTACTGCACCTATCAATCAATCACCTGCATATTAAGCCCAGCATGCATCAGCTATCCTTTCTAATACTCTCCCTTCCCACACCCTAGCCCCTGTCAGATCCCACTGTGTGTTGTTCCCCTCCTCGTGTCCATGTGATCCCATCACTCAGCTCCCACTTATAAGTGAGAACATGCAGTGTTTGGTTTTCTATTCCTGCTTTAATCTGCTGAGGATAATGGTTTCCAGCTTCATCCATGTCCTTGCAAAGGACATGGTCTCATTCCTTGTTATGGTTGCATAATATTCCATGCTGTATAGGCACCACATCTTCTTTATCCAGTCTATCACTGATGGGCATTTGGGTTGATTCCATGTTCTTGCTATTGTGAATAGTGCTGCAATGAACATACGTGTGTGTGTGTGTGTGAATCTTCGTAATATAATTATTTATATTCCTTTGGGTATATACCTAGTAATGGGATTGCTGGGTCAAATGGTATTTCTGGTTCTAGCTCTTTGAGGAATTGCCAGACTGTCTTCCACAATGGTTGAACTAATTTGCATTGCCACCAACAGTGTAAAAGCGTTACTATTTCTCCACAGCCTCACCAGCACCTGTTGTTTCTTGACTTTTTAATAATGGCCATTCTGACTGGCATGAGATGGTATCTCATTGTGGTTTTCATTTGCATTTCTCTAATAATCAGTGATATTGAAATCTTTTTCATATGTTTGTTGGCTGCATGATTGTCTTCTTTTGAGAAGTGTGTGTTCATGTCATTTGCCCACTTTTTAATGGGGTTGTTTGTTTGTTCTTGTAAATTTGTTTGAATTCCTTGTAGATTCTAGAAATTAGACCTTTGTCAGATGGACAGATTGCAAAGATTTTCTCCCTCTGTAGGTTGCCTGTTCACTCTGATGATAGTTTCTTTTGCTGTGCAGAAGCTCTTTAGTTTAATTAGATCCCATTTGTCAATGTTTGCTTTTGTTGCAATTGCTTTTGGCAATTTCATCATGAAATCTTTGCCTGTGACTATTTCCTAAACAATATTGCCTAGATTTTCTTCTAGGATCTTTAGAGTTTTGGGTTTTACCATTTAAGTCTTTAATCCATCTTGAGTTAATTTTTGTATAAGGTGTGAGGAAGGGGTCCAGTTTCAATTCTCTGCAAATGGACAGCCAGTTATTCCAGCATCATTTATCGAATAGGGAATCCTTTCCCCATTGCTTGTTTTTGTTGGTTTGTCAAAGATCAGATGGTTGTGAATGTGCAATCTTATTTCTGAGCTCTCTATTTTGTTCCATTTCTCTATGTGTCTGTTTTGTACCAGTACCGTGCTGTTTTGGTTATCTGGTTATTGTAAAGCCTTATAGTATACTTTGAAGTCCGGTAGGGTGATGCCTCCAGCTTTGTTCTTTTTGCTCAGGATTGTCTTGTCTATACTGGCTCTTTTTTTGTTCCATATAAATTTTAAAACAGGTTTTTCTAATTCTGTGAAGAATGTCAATGGTAGTTTAATAGGAATAACATTGAATCTATAAATTACTTTGGGCAGTATGGACAGTTTCATAATATTGCTTCTTCCTATCCATGAGCGTGGATAGCATTTTTTTTTTTTTTTTTTTTTTTTTTTTTTTGTATTTCTGGTAGAATTTCTTTGTATTACTGGTAGAATTCAGCTGGAAGTCAATCTGGTTCTGGGATTTTTTTGGTTGGTAGGCTATTAGTTACTGCCTGAATTTCAGAACTTGTTATTGGTCTATTCAGGAATTCAACTTTTTCCTGGTTCGGCCTTGGGAGGGTTCATATGCCCAGGAATTTATCCATTACTTCTAGATTTTCTAGTTTATTTGCATAGATCTGTTTAAAGTATTCTCTGATGGTAGTTTGTATTTCTGTGTAGTCAGTGGTAATATCCCCTCTATCATTTTTTATTGTGTCCATTTGATTCTTTTCTCTTTTCTTCTTTATTAGACTAGCTAGCATTCTATTTTATTATTTTGTTCACAAAACCATCCCCTGGATTCATTGATTTTTTTGAAGAGTTTTTCTGTGCCTCCATTTCCTTCAGTTCCACTCTGATCTTGGTTATTTCTTGCCTTCTTCTAGCTTTGTGGTTTGTTTGCTCTTGGTTCTCCAGTTCTCTTAGTTGTGATTCTAGGGTGTTGATTTGAGATCTGTCTAGCTTTTTGATGTTGGCATTTAGTGCTATAAATTTCCCTCTTTACACTGCTTTAGCTGTGTCCCAGAGATTCTGGTAGGTTGTCTCTTTGTTTTTATTGGTATCAAAGAACCTATTGATTTCTGACTTAATTTCATGATTTAAACCAGAAGAGATTGGGATGCATTTTTAGCATTCTTAAGAAAAGAAATGCAAGCCGAGAATTTCATATCCTGACAAACAAACTTTCATACCTGAAGGAGAATTAATGTCTTTCCAAGACAAGCAATTGCTAAAGGAATTTGTCACCACCAAACTGGCCCTACAAGAGATTTTTAAGAGAGTTCTAAACATGGAAAAAAAAGAACAATATTTGCTACCACAAAAGTACACACAAGCACATAGCCCACACACCCTATAAAGCAACTAAAAAATTGAGACAACAAAACAACTAGCTAATATTATAGGAATAAAACATCACATATAAATATTAACCTTGAATGTAAATGGCATAAATACCCCATTTAAAGGACATAGAGTGGCAAATTAGATAAAAAGGGAAGACCTATCCTCTGCTGTCTGTAAGAGACCTATCTCACATGCAATGACACCCATAGCCTCAAAGTAAAGGGATAGAGAAGGATTGGTCATGCAAATGGAAAACAAAAAAGAGGATGCGTTATTATTTTTGTATCAGATTAAAAAAGACATTAAACCAGCAACAGCAAAACAGTACTAAAAAGGCCATTACATAATGATAAATGGATCAATGCAATAATAAGATTTACACCCAACATTGGATCACTCAGATTTATGAAGCAATTACTTCTGGACCTAAGAAAAGACACTGACTGCCACACAATAATAGTGGGAGACTTTGATACCCCACGGACAGCATTAGACAGATCACAGGCAGAAAACCAAAAAAGAAATTCTGGACTTAAATTTGACAATTGAATTGGACGCAGTAGACATCTACAGAATACTCCACTCAACAACAACAGAACACACACTCTTCATCTGCACATATAACATGCTTGAAGATTGACCACATGCTTGGCCATAAAGCGAGTCTTAATAAATTCAAAATAAATCAAAATCACACCAAGGATCTTCTTTGACTACAACGGAATAAAAATAAAATAAATACCAAGAAGAACTCTCAATACCACATAAATATATGGAAACTAAACAACTTAGTCCTAAGTGACTTTTGGGTAAACAACAAAATTGGTGTAGTAATCAAAATTTATTTGAAACAATGATAATAGACACGCAACATACCCAAACTTCTGGGATACGGCAAAAGCAGTGTTAAGAGGAAAATTTATAGTACGAAACACCTACTACACAAAGAAAGATATAAAATTCACAAACTAAATTTGCACTTAAAGAACTAAAAAAGTCAAGAACAAACTAAACCGAAAGACAGCAGAGGAAAATAAAGAACTAAAATCAGAACAGAACTAAATGAAATTGGGATCCCAAAAACCATACAAAGGATCAATGAAATGAAAATTTGTTTTTTGGGGAAGGATAAACAAGACTGATGGTCTACTAGCTTGATTTTGAACCCAGGAGGTGGAGGTTTTAGTGAACCAAGATTGTGCCACTGCACTCCATCCTGGGTGACAGAGCAAGACTCTGTCTCACATTAAAAAAATAATAATAATAAAGAAAAGAAAGAAAGAAGAGTTAAATAAGCACAATCAGAAGTAACCAAGGTGACATCACAACTGATCAAAATACAAAAGAACCTTAGAGACTGCTATGAACATCTCTACGCACACAAACTAGTAAATCTAGTAGAAGTGGATAAATTGCTGGAAACACACAGCCTCTCAATGTTGAACTAGGAAGATACAGAGATCCTGAACAGACCAATAACAAGTAATGAAATTGTATCAGTAATAACAAAATCTACCAACCAAAAAAAAAAAAAACAATTAAAAAAGTCCTGGATCAGGTGGATTCACAGCCAAATTCTACCAGATGTACAAGGAAAAGCTAATACCAATTCTACCGAAAGTATACCAAAAAATTGTAGAGGAGGGATTCCTTCCTAACTCATTCTACGAAACTAGCATCATCCTGATACCAATATCTGGCAAAGACACAACAACAATAAAAACTATAGGCCAATATCCCTAATGAACATAGATGGAAAAATCCTTAACAAAATACTAGCAAACTGAGTCCAGCAGCACATCACAAAGTTAAGTGACCACAATCAAGTGAATTTTATCCCTGGGATGCAAGAATGGTTTAACATATGCAAATCTGTACATGTGATTCACCTCATAAAAATATTAAAACCAAAAACCATAGGATCATATCAATAGACCCAGAACAAGCATTCAATAATATTTAACATCCCTCCACAATCAAATCCCTCAAGAAACTAGGCATTGAAGGAATATACCCCAAAATAGTAAGAGCCAAATATTACAAACCCACAGTCAACATCATGCTGAAAGAACAAAAGCTATAAGCATTCCCCTTAAGAACTGGAATAAGACAAAGATGTCCACACTCACTACTCCTATTCAACATAGTACTGGAAGTCCTAGTCAGAGCAATTAGGCAAGAGAAAGAAATAAAAGGCATTTGAGTAGGAAAAGAGGAAGTCAAACTATCTCTCTTTGCTAACAATATGATTCTATACCTAGAAAACCCCAAAAATTCCACCAAAAGTCTCCTAGACCTGATAAACAACTTCAGCAAAGACTCAGGATACCACATCAATTTTCCCAAATCAGTAGCATTTGTATATGCCAATAACATTCAAGCTGAGAACCAAATCAAGAATGTAATCTCTTTTACAGTAGCCACAAAAAAGTTAAAATACCTAGGAATATATCTGGCCAAGGAAGATCTCTACAAGGAGAACTACAAAACACTACTGAAAGAAATCATAAACAACAAGAACAAACAGAATAGCTTTCCATGTTAATATGTGGAAGAATCAATATTGTTAAAATGTCCATAATGTCCAAAGCAATCTACAGATTCAACACTATTCCTATCAAACTACCAATCTCTTTTTTTCACAGAATTAGAAAAAACTATTCCCAAATTCATATGGATCCAAGAAAAGAGCCTAAATAGCCAAAGCAATCCTAACAAAATAGAACAAAGCTGGAGTTATCACATTACCTGACTTCAAGCTATACTACAAGCCTATAGTAATCAAAACAGCATGGTATTGGTACAACAATGGACATATAAGCCAATGGAACAGAATAGAGACTTCTGAAATAAAGTCACACACCTATAGTCAACTGATCTTCAACAAAGTTGAGAAAAATAAACAATGCAGAAAGGACATCATATTCAATAAATGGCACAGGAACACTGGCTAACCAATGCAGAATAATAAAACTGGACCCCTACCTCTCATCATATACAAAAATTAACTCAAGGTAGATTAAAGACTTAAATGTAAGACCTCAAACTATAAAAATTCTAGAAAACCTAGGAAATACTCTTTTAGACATTGCCTAGGCAAGAATTTGTGACAAGGACCCCAGAAGCAAATGCAACAAAATAAAAATAGACAAATGGGACCTATTTTTTTCTGCACAGAAGAAGAAATACTAGCAGAGCAAACAGACATCCTACAGAATGGGAAAACATAGTTGCATCCTATGCATCTGAGAAAGGACTAATATCCTGATTCTATCAGGAATTTAAACAAATCAACAAGAAAAAAACTGCATTAGGAAGTAGGCAAAGGACATGAACAGACACTTCTCAAAAGAAGCCATATGAGTGGCCAAAAAGCATGTGAAAAAAAGCTCAATATCGTCAGAGAGACGAAAATCAAAACCACAATGAGGTATCATCTCACACAAGTCAGAATGGCTATTACTAAAAAATCAAAAAATAACAGATGTTAGCATGGTTGTGGAGAAAAGGGAACACTTATACACTGTGTGGGGGAATGCAAATTAGTTCAGCCCCTGTGGAGATTTTCCAAAGAACTTAAAACAGAATTACCATTCAACACAGTAATCCCACTACTGGGTATATACCCAAAAGAAAATAAAACATTCTACCAAGAAGACACATGCACTTCTATGTTTATTGCAGCACTATTCACAATAGCAAAGACATGGAATTAACATAGCTACATCAGCGGTGAGTTGGATAAAGAAAATGTGGTACATATACAATATGGAATACTAAGTAGCCATAACAAAGAACAAAATCATGTACTTTGCAGCTAGATGCAACATGGATGCAGCTGGAAGCCGTTATTCTAAGCAAACTAATACAGAAACAGAAAACCAAATATTACACATTCTCATTTATAAATGGAAGCCAAATCTTGGGTTTATGTGGACATAAAGATGTGAATAATAGACAGTGGAGACTCCAAAAGGAGGAAGAGAGGGAGGGAGGAAAGGGATGAAAAACTTCCTATTGGGTACTATGTTCACTATCTTGGTGATGGGATAGATAGAAGCCCAAACTTCAGCACCACACATTATACCCCCGTAACAAACCTGCACATGTACCCCAAGAATCTAAAATGAAAATGGAGATGAAAGGAATAACAGTAATAGCAGAGAGGCCAGTTAGTATATTGTAATAATCTGAATAAAATTGACAAGGGCTTAAATTAGGTCCCACTGATGTCAAAATGGAAGCAGAGGCAGAAATGGGAAATTATTTAGGAGGTACATTTTACTGGATGTGGAAATTAGTTGGATGAGAGAATAAAGACAGGGCATGGGGAGACATCAATGATCACTCTACCAGAAAGCTGCAATCAGAATTGCAGTGCTTTTGCTCATGAAACTGAGTAAGCAGGGCCCTTTTTAAAAAATCTTATATTACACTTTGGCTTTATGTGAACATTTACAATTTACTATGACATCACAAAACCTGGAAGAGAGAGAAACAAAATAAAAATAAAAAAAACAAAAGAATAAGTATCTGTATTAAGCCCTATCACACATAATACAATTTTATCCTCTACGATCAATTTTATCACAAAGATATTCATATCATTATACTTTATAATTTAGATATTACTAATGTGTTTGATTTACAAATGAGACATTGAATATTGGAGATATTAAATGATTTTCCTGTTATTTATATAATATATGAAAGAACCAGGCAAATAATCACGCTCGTTCAAAAGCAAATACTCCGATCTTTTCCTTAGGCCACATCATTTCACTACTTAAATTAAGAAAACCAGCTTCAAAGATATTCATGTTTGCAGCAGTTCCTCCTTATCTGTGGTTTCACTTTCCACAGTTTCAGCTACCTGCAACCAACCACAGTCTGAATATAGGTAAATACAATATAATAAGACTCTTTTGAGAGAGAAAGAGACCACATTCATATAACTTTTATTACAGTATATTGTTATAATTGTTCTATTTTATTACTAGTTATTGCTTTTAATCTCTTACCATGCCTAATTTATAAGTTAAACTTTATCATAGGTATGTATGTATAGGAAAAAAATATAGTATATATAGTGTTTAGTGCTAATTGATGTTTCAGGTATCCAAGGTTGGTCTTGGAACATATCCCCCGAGGATAAGGTGGGGTTACTATATCCTTTTTTATCATATGAAAAAAGCAATACAGAAATGTATATATAATTTTTACCTTTCAATTAAAAAGAAAAAAGAACAAAAAACAGTTGTAGACGTTTCCACATTTTCAGTAAGAAAACATTGTGGGATGAGAACACATGTACACAGGGAGGGAAACAACACTCACCAGGGCCTGTCAGGGGAGGGTGGGGAGAGGGAGAGCATTAGGGAAAAGAGCAAATGCATGCTAGGCTTCAAACCCAGGTGATGGGTTAATAGGTGCAGCAAACCACCATGGCACATGTTTACCTATGTAACAAAACTGCACATCCTGGTCATGTACTCTGGAACTTAAAATAAAAAAAATAAAAATCAAGTTAAAAAAAAACATTGTGATGTTTTACAATGTTTATTATTTATTTCTCTATTTAATAAATAGAGCTATTTATTAAAACCATAGAGATTTTAAAAATAACTCTAGTTATTTTATTTTTAAATGTACATGTCTCCTCGTTGATTTGCTTTGAAGAGAGAAAAATCAGTAAACTCATGGTTTGGAGGGATAATGTGCCTTAGTTGGACTTGGGAGCTGATTTCTACAGGCTGTGCTCCTGCCCTTGTCTCGTGTTGCTCCCTGTAATTGGCTTGATTCTCTACACAAAAAACTAACAAACCCCAAACAGACCCTGGATATGTGTTTACCTAGCAGAATAGATCTACAAATGAACTATCCTTTGTAAGAATAACAAATAGATACTGATGGCTTCACTGTTTGAATATGAGTTTCTCCCAGTAAAATTTGGGGATCAATAAAGCAGAAGAGGGAATATTTCTTCTCTATGACGCTTTAGTATTGCATCAACTTTTATTTGCCACAATTTGTGGCTGAATCTAATAGAACCAGAGCCAGAAATCTGGAAGTTGGGAGGATCTGGTGAGCCACAGTGGAAAGGGGGCCTGTAGTGTGTGTGTGGTGTGTGGAGTGGGAGGTGGGGTGCAGCTCAAATCCAAACAGGGCTACATTTTTATGGTAAATTTACTTAATTTAAAAGACTTACTGTAAAGAACAATCCCATCTTATTTTCTCACTTAAAGCTTCTATGGTTGAGAGTGTTTGAGAAACTATCATATAGCATTTTGGATACATATTTGGAAAGATTTACTAATTGAATTAAGTATATTCTCAGTAGTCACTTCTAGTGATTTCTAGAACACAAAATGAGCGGGTTGAATAATGTGCACTTTAAAGACACATAGACTAGAATTCAAATCCTAGGCTTACTTGGGCTATGTGACCTTTAGCAACTAACAGATTTTTTGAGCTTTTGTTATCTCCAAAAAGAAAAAAATAAAGAAATTATAGTGACTATAAACCTGAGTAGGCTAATGGCTTGACAAACAACTCCCTACGTTTATTTTCTTAAAATGATAAAAGTTAATTTCTATTTACTCAAGGATCTAACATGGATGTCTCTGGTTGGACAGCTCTCCCAAGCATTTCTTCTCTCTGTGCAACTCTGTGACTCAGTTTCCTTCCAAACTGTGGCTGCACCCTAGTTTACATCCTTAAATCCCTCTCTATCAGCTGGTAGAGGGAAAGAAGCATGGAGGATTGTACTTGAATTACTCAAGGTTCACCAGAGAAACAGAACAAATAGGATATCTACATGTAAGAGATTTATGGTAAACATTGGCTCACATGATTACGGAGGCCCAGAACTTCCATGATATGTTGTCCACAAGCTGGAAATCCAGAAAAGCCAGTGGTATAATCCAGCCCAAGTCCAAAGCTTGAGAACTTAGGTGGGCTGCTAATGTAACTTGCAGCCCAAGACTGAAGGCCTGAGAACCAGGGGAAAGGGTACTGTAAGTCCCAGGATCCACAGGCCCCGAAACTAGAAGCTCTCATGTCTGAGAGCAGGAAAAGATAAATGTCCCAACACACACACAACAAGAGAGAATTTGCCTTTCCTCCACCTTTATGTTCCATTTGGGCCCTTAACGGATTGGACGATGCCTGCTCACGTTGGTGAAGGTAGATCTTCTTTATTCAGCTTACTGATTTAAACACTAATCTCTTCCAGAAAAACCCTCACAGGCGAACCCAGAAATAATGTTTTACCAGCTATCTGGGCATCCCTTAGCCCAATCAAGATGATGCATAAAATTAACCATCACAATACTTTAGAGAACTTTGTAGGTCAAGACTGGAAGGGGCAAACACTAACTCTATCCGTATTCCACTGGACAGAATTCAGTTACAAGATACGTCCTAATCTGGGAGGCTGGGAAATGCAGTCAAGCTGCAAAGCAAAGCAATTGCCACGATTTGAATGAAGCAAGCCAGAAGCTGAGTATGCAAAATTTAAGGGGTCACTGTCAAGGTCAGCCAGTCATTCTCAAGGTCAGCCAGTTCAGGGTCACACAAATGCAGGACCGGGATTTGCAGAAATCTGAGAGTCTCCTTACATATTCCAGCCCTAGCTGCCTTGCTTGCCTCACCCTGGTCTTGGACCAAAGTACACAGTTTGGGAGGGAAACAGTCTCTGCCACATCCATCTACCTAACAAGACTGAAAAGAAATAGAATGTTCAATGTTTGATGCTTACCTATTTCATCATCATATATAAACACAAAAACAGAAATTATTTCCTTTTGTTTTTCTTTGCAATAAGACTGTGATGATTACATTTACACATTTAAAAAATCCTTAGCAAATATCTCTGAATTTGAGGAGTGCCAATTTTGTTATTCTATTTATTTTAAAATATAGATTAAAAAAATTCTTGTCAGCTTTTATTCCGGCCACTACAGTATTTAGCAGCAGAATATAAACTCTCCAAAACAGTACACACACCCAGAGACTTTTTTGGAACTTAATTTCTTTGAAAATAAGTTTTGGTCTGTACATTTTGATTTCTTAACGGTTGTCGGACTTACAGTGCTTCTCTCAACTACTGCTCCCTTAAAATTCAGCGAGGCATTGTTAGGGCATGCTTTCCCATAATGAACACATTATAGTAATCGTTGGAGAAGAAAAAAGACAAGAATGGCTGTGGTGTAATCTTCAAAATGTTCACATGGCTGTAATGCTGGTCATTTTAGGGAAACTGCCAAAAGGCTCATGAAGCAGTAAACATGCATTCTGTATTTAGAGAAGTAGTTTAACTTTCCGGATAGCCAATTCCAACTTCAGTTTATCTTGCTTTATGTACAAAAGAGCTATGTGGATGTTGACAGCTTATGAGCAAATCATTCTACAAAATGTGGCCATTGATCTGCTATTGAAAGAAGAGACAATGTTCTGTAGAAAGGCTGCAGCAAATACTAGTCGCTGTTATGAGTTAATGAAGTTTTTATTGTTAATTAAGTCTAGAAGAGTCTTTTCATCTACGAAGACTACTTTGCAGAAAGATCCAAAGTGATGTGTTTTTGCTTTTGCCTTTCCTTGTCTGGAAACTTTTGCACCCACCATTTATTCATTCAACAGACATTTATTTATTGAAGACTTCTTAGCAAAGCACTGGGTGCTGGTGGACATAAAGACATATTGGATTGGAAAGCACCCTCAGCCGGGCGCGGTGGCTCACGCCTGTAATCCCAGCACTTTGGGAGGCCAAGGTGGGCTGATCACGAGGTCGGGAGTTCGAGACCAGCCTGGCCAATATGGTGAAACCTCTTCTCTACTAAGAATACAAAAATTAGCTGAGTGTGGTGGCGTGCTCCTGTAGTCCCAGCTACTAAGGAGGCTGAGGCAGAAGAATCGCTTGAACCCGGGAGGCAGAGGTTACAGTGAGCTGAGATCGTGCCACTGCACTCCAGCCTGTGCAACAGAGCAAAAACAAACAAACAAACAAACAAACAGAAAACACCCTCAAGGAGCTTTTTGTTAAGTAGAGGATATGAATATGGACACAGATATGTACACAGCTACAATATATTGTAGGGCATGGAAGAGCCATAAAGGAGGTCAAGACAGACTCATCCAGAGAAAGGAACTATTATATATGAGGCTTCTTGCAGAGATGGCATTTGAGCTGGAAGAAAAATCAGCATAGAAATGATGTTGAAGTGAGTGGTGGTGTTGATGTAGAGTTTGCAGAAAAAGAACAAGAACACACAAATACCAGCCAAATCCTCATGTTGTGCATTTTCTGTGTAAGCACACTCGGATAAGTTATTATTTATAAATATAAAGTAGGTATGAATTAAAGACCTCCGAGATGTTATCATAATGCCACACATGGAGCATTGTCAGCTCTCTTCATCAGTCTGGAATCAGGACCTCCATGAACCACCTGCTTTGACACCAGGTACTCAGCAAGCTCTTGTGTTTTTCCGGCCCTGGTATATTTATTAGATACCTGAACCTGCCTATGGCTTGGCTTTAGTTTGAAGAAAATCTCAGCCATATAACTTCAAACTGAAATGTTTTAGCACATATCATGGAAAGATAAAAACTCTTTCAAAAAACATGACCACAGTATGATTATCATACTTCAAGCAGCAGGCATTATTAATATTCCATTATGGTAAGAAAGAAAATTAAAGAAAGTTAATTCATAACAAGCAATTTTTCATGTGGCCTTTATTTTTACTCGTATAGCAAAGGAAAGAGAAGGGAACGAGGGAAGGTGGGGAGAGAAAGAGGGAAGAAGAGAGAGAGATAAAAAGGAAGGTTAACAAGATAAAATACAAACAGCAGAGTCTAACAGCCTAAAATACAGGTGTGTGCTTATCTCAGCAGGGCTGACAACAGTCATCTTGCAGTGAAATAATGAATTGGCTGAATTATCCTGAGAACTTACAGGTGATAAGAGAGATGCTCAAAGGATAGGAGAAAGATTCTATGAAGATTTGCTTAAAAACTTATTGTAAATGCTAGAAATTATAGACCAATCCATGCTAACTTCAGTTTATGTAAAAATATTGGAGCATGAAAATCAATTTGTAAACACTCAGATTGCAAGGTAATAACTAACACCAGTTAGAAGAGCAAGTTATCAAAGACCAATCTAATAGCCTTTGCTGACAGAGCAGAGGACATTGTAGATAGCAGAAAAGCAATACATGCAATACATCTCAACCTCTGGATGGCCTCTGATTTTGTCCCATATGACACACTCATCAACAAGCAGAGAAAATATAGCTTAAACCAGTATTCCTCAAACTATGCACTGTGACCCTCAAGGTTATCATGAAATGGTACCAAAGAGGTTACAGAATTTACAACTGTATTTCGTCTTCCTAGTGCTGGAGCCAGAGGAAGTCCCAGTATGGAGAGAATATATCAGCAGGATGAGTGTAATTAGGAGATGTGCACAAGGAGAACAGAGAAAAATCCCAAAAAGACACTACTCATTCTCACATTCTCAGATAACCAAGCCCTTCCACCAACCTTCCTCCAGCTGTTACAAAGACATTCATCCCTGCAACCGGCCAAAGCAGAAGGTCTGGTTAAGTCAGACCTCTAAGTGTTGATTTTCTCTTTTGCTTTAATCATTGTTTCTTGCTTATCAATAACATCAATATTACAAAATATATGTAAACTCAGATTAAGAATAAAAAAGTTTTTTCAGTATTCATGATATTCAAGCACTTCATATGTGTTTAGGGTATAAAATATTTAACTCATGTAAGGATATTTTTATTTAACAAATAACAGGCCCTATTAGTAACTCATTTTATCCTCATAACAACTCAATAAGGTAGGAATTATTATTTACAGATGAGGAAATTGTGGCACAGAGCAATGAAGCAACTTGCCCACAATTACATGTGAATATCTGGTAGGGAATAATTAGAGAAAGTTTCAAATCAGGCTGTTTGAACCCAGAGCCCAGGTCTTTAACCACTGCACTATGATGCTCCTCCAAATGTAAAACATTAAGCACCGTGCTTAGTGCATAATATACTCAATAAATGTAAGCTATTATTATTAATATCAATCAATTCACACATCACCCTGTATTAGCCCATTTGACAGATGAAGAAGCTAATGTATGATGAGTTTAAGCACTTGTGTAAGGAAAATACGAATGTTTTCAGATGTATATAATGAGTCAGAATGTGAAGAAGTGGATTCTTGATAAACTAAGCTGTCACAATAAGCTGATGAGTTCATTTGTGGGAGAATAAGGAGAGTTGCAAACTATTAGGCAGTGATCTTGAGATGCTTGATAGAGTCATGAAAGCAAATGGCAGAGAGCTGTACCAACGCATTTTTCTAAAGGAAACAAGGGATTCAAGTGAACTAAAATGATCATGCATTTTTTAATAGCATCAGTCCAAACATTTGTAGGGTTTTCATCAGAAGAGGTTTCTTTCTTCTAAAAAAAAAATCTTTAAAAAAGAATAGATGAATTTGGGTGTTTCCCTGAGAAGAAAGGCAATTTTATAGTTCGATTGAATTTCAACTTTAAAATGTTTTGGAAAGAAGAAAGCTTCTCCTTTTGAATGTATTTCAATAGAAGGAGTTGAAAACTCTTGTTGTCTTAAAGGAACCAAGACGCAACTTTAAGCTATTGATGCAAATTTCTCATATTCCTCAGTGGTAAATTAAATTTACACATTTGCTCTTGAATTTGTTGTGCCTGCATCTTCCCTTCTATTCATGCTAGAATATTTTGTATTTGCAAGTTTACAAAGAATTGTGGAATAAGAATAAAAGCAAGAACACTTGAGGATAAATGATTGTTTCTTCCATATGTAGTGGTCTGTTCATCACAGCATTGCTGCTCTATTTTGTGTGTGACAGATTGTCAAATTAAATGTTTTTCTGCCCTTTTTCATTTTCTCTGTTCATTTGTTATTCTAAAAATAGAATGTTTTGATTTTCTACACTACAAGAGGTCATTCCTTGTTTTTTCATGTTTGAATTATTTTTCTAAATGAGCAAATAAAACATTAAAAAGAGTTTCAAAAAAATTTATGAATATTTATGGGGATAGCTAGGAAAAGATCAACTCAAAGAAGAGTATGTACAAGTCTACTTAGTGTTATATCAGAAATTCCTTCCATTTATTTAATTGTTCATTTGTTTGCTTTAGAGATGGGATCTTTCTACACTGTAGGCTGGAGTACAGTGGTTATTCACAGGCATGATTATAGCTCACTGAAGTCTTGGACCCCTGGCCTCAAGTGGTCCTTCTGCCTCAACCTCCCAAGTAGCTGAAAATACAGGCATGCACCACCACACTGGGTGACATTTCCTTCCTTTTAAGACTGAGAAATACTGCATTGTGTGTGTGTGTGTGTGTGTGTGTGTGTGTGTGTATCACATTTCATGTATCTATTTATCTTTTAACAGACACTTGAGTTTCTTTCACCTTTTGGCTATTGCAAATCATGACGCTATGAACATGGATGTACAATTATCTGATTGAGTCCCTGATTTCACTTCTTTTGGATATATATATGCAGAAGTTGAAATGACTGTATATTACGGCAATTCTATGTTTAATTATTTGAGGAACCACCATAATGTTTTCATTAGCAGCCACACAATTTTATCTTCCCACCAGCGATGCACAAGGGTTCCAATTTCTCCACATCCTTACAAGTATTTTCTGTTTTATTTTTAATAATAGTCACCCTAATGGTTATACCCTAATGGTGTTATCTTATTGTGGGTTTGATTTGCATCTCCCTGCTGATTAGTAATGCTGAGGATCTTTTCATGTACTTAATGTATATTTTCTATGGAGTAATATCTATTAATGTTTTTTGCCTATTTTTAATTGGGTTGTTTGCTTTGTTCTTGAGATGTAATTTTTAATATATTCTGAATATTAATTTCTTATCATATATATGATATCATATATATGATTTGCCATATTGTCTCCCACTCTGTGGGTTGCATTTTCATTCTGTTAATAATGTTCTTTGAGGCACAAAAGTTTTTAATTTAGATGACGTCCAACTTATATATTTTTTCTGTTTTTGCTTGTGCTTTGGTGTCATACCCAAGAGATTATTGCTTAATCTAGTGTCATGAAGCTTTCTTCCTGTTTTCTTCTGAGAGTTTTATAGTTTTAGCTCTTACATTTGCTTAGGGCTTTGATCATTTTCGGTTAATTTTTGTATACGATGTAAGGTAAAGGTATCCAGTCTTTCCAAAAACAAGTTGTTAAAATGACTCTTCTCCTCATTGAATGGTGGGTCTTCATTGTCAAAAATCATTTTACCACATATGTGATGGTTTATTTCTGAGATCTCTATTCTATTCTATTAGTCTCTGTTTGCCTTTATGTCTGTATCACACTGTCTGGATTACTATAGTTTTGTCATATAATTTGAAATCAGGAAGTGCAAGATATATAACTTTGTTTTGCTTTTTTCAAGATTATTTTGGCGATTGAAGTTTTCTTTCGATTCCATATAAATTTTAGGATGGAATTTTTTATTTCTGAGTAATTGAAAATTTTGATGGAGATTATATTGAATCTTTAGATAGCTTTGGGTAGTGACATCTTAATATTAAGTGTTCAATCTGCAAATATGAGGGAGCTATTTATTGGTGTCTTATTTAATTTCCTTCAATCTAAAAGCTGTATTGTTTTCTGTATAAAAGTGTTGCACCTTCTTGGTTAAGTTTATACTTAAATATTTTATTTTTAATGCTATTATCAATTGTATCATTTACTTAATTTTCTTTTCAGATGGTTCATTTTTAGTGTGTAGAAACGTAACTAATTTTTGTGTGTTGATTTTGTATTTTTGCGACATTGCAGAATTTTTTAATAGTTCTAATAGGTTTTCAGTATATACAGAAATTAGATTCAAGTAAATACAGAAAGTAAATATATAACAAATTTGTATATTAAATTACTGTGAGCAGGATAGATAAAACAGTTTTGGAACAACTGGATAATTTTGGAAAAAAGTAGATTCCATATTCATAGCATGCATTATAATAAACTCCAAATGGGTCATCAATTTTAATGAACTCATGACTTTAATAGATTCTCTTTCCTAGCTCTGTCCACTGAAAGGGCCAGGATGCAGTGACATGTTGCAAGCAAGGTTATATTAGTTTCCAAATACTATTTCCACCAAAAGGGGAGGACTCCCTGGAGTATTAGATGATTCCAGGTCTTGCATTAGATAAACATGAAACATCTTATGCCAGAAAGCAAGGAATTGCTGAAAGAGTGATGGGAAGATGTCAAAAGAACATAGGAACAACCACCTGACTGGCTAAATTTGAGACAATGTGAAAATAAAAAAAGACAATAATAGATTATAGAACATTGAATATCCAGAAAATAAAGACAAGGACCCTCAGACTAATCCAGGTGGTAGGACATTTCCTAAGACAATTGATCTGAACTCTTCGAAAAATGTTAGTGTCATGAAAAACTTAAATGAACAAAAAGGCAGGATGCTGTTTAAGTAAAAGAGGACTAAAGAAACATAAAAAACTAAATGGCATGTGTGAACCTTGATTGGATCTTGGATTAAAAAACACAGCTATAAAGGTTATCTTTGCAGATAATCAGGAAAACCTGAGTATGGACTGTGTATTAGAAAATATTGTATCAATGTTAAATTTCAAGTGGTTTTGTCATGAAGTGTGCATGTCTGTGAGAGAGAGGGATACAAAGAGATAAAGCAATGTGAGAAGATGTTAACAACTGGTGGATCTAAGTGAAGGATATATGCTGTTCATTGACCTATTCTTTCAATTTCCTATAGCTTTGCAATTCTTAAAAATAAAAAGTAGAGGAATAAAAATAAATAATATTATTAAATAATTAAATTAAATAAATAAATTAAATTAAATTAAATAAATAAATAATATTAAATAATTAAATAAATAAATTACATATATACATGAATATTTATATATGTAAATAATATTCATAGATCATGCAATTATATTATTAAATAATTAAATTACCATTTATATATGTAAATAATATTCATAGATCATGCAATTATGTCAAGTTCTTTATAAATTAAGGCAAATGTAAGAAATAAAGGTACGAGTATATAAAGGAATAAATTATATAAATAGAAAAAATAGTTCTAATAGATTTTTGGGATATCTTCAGGGTTTTCTACATATACTATCTATCATCTTGCTAATAGAAATAATTTTGCTTTCTCTTTTCCAAAGGTTAATACTAATGCTAAGTTCCAATTTGGATACCTTGCATTTTTTTCTTGACTAATTGTTCCAGCTAGTATTTCCAATACTATGCATAACAGAAGTGACAAAAGACCTATTTTTTTTGTTCCTTTTAGAGGAATTATTTTTTTTTTCCTTTTAGAGGAAAAGCTTTTAGTCTTTTATCATTGAGTATGTTGGCTGTAGGTTTGTACATATAGGGCCTTTATTATGCTGAAGTAGTCGTCTTCTATTCCTAGTTTGTTGAGTGATTTTATCATGAAAGGGTGTTGAATTTTGTTGAATGATTTTTCTGCATCAACTGAGATGATCATATTTTCCCTTTTTTCTACTAATGTAGTGTATTACATTAATTGATTTTTGTATGTTGAACTATCCTTGCATTCCAGGAATAAACTCCCCTTGGTCATGGTGTATAATCTTTTAATATGCTGTTAAATTTGGTCTTTCAGTATTTTGTTGTGGATTTGTACATCAATATTTATAAGGCATATTGTTCTACAATTTTCTATTCTTGCTTTGTATAAGGGTTATTCTTCTCCCTTTTAAATTAAGAACTCATTAAAGTTGTCTTCTTTATTTCAGCTTTTTGCTTTTGATATTACCTGGTAGATTCTCATTTTTCCCTGAAGGTAATTCTGAGGAAACTAGAGTTAGGTGAGGGTTGGAGCCTCAGACAGACTTTTCTTTGGCAAGCACAGGGAGGTGGCAGATTGCAAACACTTATGATTTAACATCTTTTTTTGTTCTTGTCACAAATTTATAAACTGAACTGGATCCCATAATTAAGATAAGCCCTCCAAGAAAAGGGTTCGAGAAGAAGCCATATTGGTTGAAATATGTGCAAGTGTACAGGTCAGTGTTGCTTAATTTTTTTTTTATCAAGGACTCCCAATATTGTTATATTTACTATTATTTTATTTAGGTGTCTTTAAACAAAAGCTATCTATATCTAAACTCTCTCTACTTACAACTCTTACACAAAAGCAAGTTAAATTTCAAAGTTAAATACAAATTTTACCAAACAATACAATTCATTTTTTGGTGACAATTTTATGTTACAAATGATGTTTTCCAAAAATAAAAGTGTCAGCTCACACAATGTCAATTGGTATCACAAAAAAGTATTTTGAATTTATCATGTTTGTACTGCTATTTATTTTGTGATGACTTAGTTTTTCCAGCACTTATCTTTATATTAATTACTGCAAAAATATTTATTTGCATGATATTCCCGTCTGTGATGTTATTTGGACTTTATTTGATCTAGAGAATCACTTACGTATTTGACCTACAGAATCACATACATATTTATTCTGCCTTCATTATTTTTCATTAGCTTGGGATCATTATGTCAGTGCTATTTGGCATTGTTACCAAGGTAAACACAAACTGGAATATGGGCACAAAAGCAGTTTGGCAATAATTGAGTTTTAAAGGCTGGGCATGGTGGCTCATGCCTGTAATCCTAGCACTTTGGGAAGCTCATGTGGGAGGTTCGATTGAGTCCAGAAGTTTGAGACCAGCCTGGGCAACACAGTGAGACCCTGTTTCTACAAAAAATAAAAATAAAATTAGCCAGGCCCAGTGGCATGCACCTGTAGTCTCAACTACTTGGAAGACCAAGGCAGGAAGATTGCTTGAGCCCAGGAATTCGAGGTTGCAGTGAGCTATAATCGTGCCACGGCACTGCAGCCTGAACGACAGAGCAAATATCTTATCTCAAAACAAAATGAAAGAAAACACCAAATAATCCAAAGCATACCTCAGTTAATTCTTAAATTAATACCAAAATGAAAAACTCACATTTAAACTTCCTACCGTTGAATCATTAAAAAACACTGGTGAAAAGAGAAAGATACTGATTAGAGTACAGGGAAGAAGAAAGCTGGGGAGAGCAAAAGAACTCAAGGGCAAATGAGGGCAGGAAGTAGCCAGTTGCAATGGCTCACGTGCTGCTTCTGTCCAAGGCAAGCAGGGTGATGGGCAGAAAACTGGGGGGAGGGACTCAGTGTCAGAGGTGTGGAGAGGCATGGGGTTAAGGAATAGGGTGAAAAGCAGTGTTTAGGGCCAAAGAAGGATAAAGAACCAAATCGATACTCACAAAAAAGCAAATCGCTATTTCAAGGGCCTAGCAGAGGCAGGAGCAAAAAGACTGGAATCTGAGAGGTTCAAATGGGAAAAAACGTTCAGGAAAATGGATGGAAGTAGAGTTTGAGGACTGAAGCCCAGCTCCAGGTGCTGACTGTCATTGTCACTGAATGCATTTTCCCAGATGGATATCCAGAGTGGAGGAAGGATTAAAAATGTGTATGGCTTGAGAGACAAACAACTAGCTCCAAAAGTTTATTAGAGCCTAACCTTTCCTGGAACTGATATACACAGGGAAAGTATACAAGGCAACCAGGCCAACATAAGACAGAAATCAAAGTGACCACTCCAAGAATAACAGAGCATCTTTTCTGGCTTTGCCCCTCATTGCAGAGTTGTGGGAACTCTAACCATCCACCCACGGAAAACTCAACTAATGCATCCATTGCTTTATTTACTAAATTTTCAAATGTCTTTATTTTCCCAGGGAACTCCTAGGCAGTGGAAGCATGATGATGAAAAATACAAGGACACTGACTTTCTGCCTCCTACAGTCAAAGCAGGGATGCAGAGCGATGGGCAAACACGCAACTGCCATACACAGTAAAGTGCAACTGCACATAGAAGGACCTTCCTCGTCAGGTTTAGCCAATTAGGGAAAGGTTCCTGGAGGAAATGATGTTTTGGGTGAGGTGTGAGTTAGTAAGCTGTGGGTGCAGGAAGGCGCATTGCATCAGGGAGAGGGAACACGATGATCAAAGACCTAACTGGTACAAGAGAGCTAATTAGGCCTTATGAAACCTGAAAGTCATTCAATCTAGCTTTTGTACGAGAGCTGTGGAAGAGGGATGAGTGTCAGTGACAAAAGATTTCTCTGGAAAGTAAAAGGGAACCCTAAGGAGCTACTTCAGAGCCACTGAAGTATTTTAAGCAGGGGAATAAAGTGATTTGTTTGAAAGATCTTAAAAATTACATTATGGATGTGATCAAATATGACCTTCTTAACAGCCACATAGAATCTGCCATTTTGTAGGACTGCTCTGGCTCTTGACCTAACATTTGTAGTCACTCTCAGCGTTTACCAGGGGTTTCAAATGTAACTGCCTGCATGTTCAGGTAGGAAAGTAAAGGCATGAAGTGGGGCTGATATAAGATATTAAGGAGTGGTGGTGACTCTGATAAAGGAGGGTATCTATACCTATCTCCACAACAACCATCACTTAGTTTCCACTGAGTTCCGGTGCACAGTAATGTTGGCCAGAGATTCTGAGTATCCTGTATAGACTCCTTATTTGTGAATGGAAAAAAAACAAAAAAACAAAAAAGCAAAAACAAAACTGTGAGCTAGGAGTTGCCTTCAAGTTACTAGTTTGGAACTTCTGTTATAGTTAGGAAAATCTGTAAATCTGTGAAGCAGATTTGTTGCCCGAGCAAACAACAATATTATCCTTGATTCCAAGAAGATAGCAATTGGTCAGGTTTTCTTTGTTTCTGTTTTCTTCAAAAATCCTCAATTTAATCAAAATGATTTAAATCAGCGTTCAGTTGTGCAGTGAAATTGATGGTAAAGCAAAGAAAAAATAGTGTGTTAGTCCATTTTTGTGTTGCTGTAAATAAATACCTGAAACTGGGTAATTTATAAATAAAAGAGGTTTAATTGGCTCATGGGTCTGCAAGCTGTACACAAAGCATAGTGCCAGCATTTGCTTCTGGTGAGGGCCTCAGGAAGCTTCCACTCATGACAGAAGGCGAAGGGGAGCTGGCATGTCTCATGGTGAGAGTGGGAGCAAGACAGAGAGAAGCGAGAGGTTCCACATTCTTTTAAACAACCTGATCTCACATGGACTAACTTAGTGAGAACCCATTCATCACTAAGGAGGTGGTGCCAAACTGTTCATGACAGATCCTCCCCCATGATCCAACTACCTTCCACTAAGTCCTTTCTGCAATATTGGAAATCACATTTTAATGTTGGAGGAGACAACATCCAAACCACAGAAAATAGTGATTTAAATATGCTGAAAGGAAATCTAAGTATAAAGTTTAGAATGAAAAGTATGGAATAGGGCACTATAAAATCTCCTCTCCTCTCGTCTCCTTTCCTTCTTTCTTTCCTCCCTTCCTCCCTTCCTCTCTCTCTCTCTCTCTCTTTCTTTCTTTCTTTCTTTCTGAGACAGAGTTTCACTCTTGTTGCCCAGGCTGGCATGCAATGGCGCGATCTCAGCTCACCACAAATTCCACCTCCCAGGTTCAAGTGATTCTCCTGCCTCAGCCTCCTGAGTAGCTGGCATTACAGGCATGTGCCACCATGCCTGGCTAATTTTGTATTTTTAGTAGAGAAGGAGTTTCTCCATGTTGATCAGGCTGGTCTTGAACTCCTGACCTCAGGTGATCCGTCTGCCTTGGCCTCCCAAAGTGCTGGGATTACAGGCTTGAGCCACCGCACCCTGCCGATAAACAAACTTTCTATTGGGCTAGGCAAACACTTTGTACATTTCAATATAATAATAATGATAATAATAATAATGAATATGCTTGTTCATGGAGAAACTAAAATGTTAGAGAAGAAGAATAAGAAAAATAAGAGAAGAAGAGGCTGAGGGTAAAATGAGAAAATAATTACTCATTTCCACCATCTGATATATATTATTATATACTTAAGATGACTAATCAGTTGCTTGAAATCTAAATGCTGTTAGTAATGCATTCATAAAAGTCAATATTGAAGTTTCATTTTGTTATAATTTAAAATATTAACACTTTGTATTTCTCTTGTGCTTTGTGATTCGTAAAAACTTTGTTGTTCAGTAGGATATAGTGAAAGTGAATGGAATTTAAGGAAGATGTTTCTGTCTATATTTCCAGTAACAAAACTTCATTTGCTTATTATACATGGTACTCTTGGAATTTATGAGACCTGGAAGTCCTGTCTACTAAAAAATTATATAATCTCCATCAAGACTCTTAAGCATCTGTGTTTCTCAGTTTCTTACCTGTAGGAAAAAACGTCTTAGCTGAGGTTATAAAATATACATTTAACACTTGGAAATAAGGCAAAAAGTTGAGCTGTATGCCCTTTAATGTTATATTGGGTCAATGTTTAAGAACCTTTGACTATTTATTATTTGATTAAACCCCAATTTAAACAACTGGAAATGTAAATTTTTTAAAAAAGCAAATACATAAAAGCCTATTTAGGGAAATTGGGGTATTTATTTGACTATTTTGATGCATCTACCTCTTACTGTTCTCATTCTCACATTTTATTCTAATTTAAAGTCTAAAATATTTTCAGTTATATATTGAATTTGACTTATTTTATAGGCTTCAGCAATGTTTTATCTTCCTAAGAAACATAAGAAATTATTCTGGAAAAAAAAAACCCACTTCAATAAAATTTAAGGAAAACCACTAAGGGCATTTCGTTTTTTTATAAACAATATACACAGCTGTAGCGATGTTGGCAGGAACACATGCCAGAGAGCTACGTACTTGCTTCTACAAACTGTTCTGTTCACCCTTTATCCAGTAACAGCTGGTAAAATGGTATTTAAGAACAGTTTGATTTAATCTAATGAGAAACTATGCTGCAATGCCTGATATTGCCTGTGGAAAATAATTGGACAAACATTGATTTTTTATGTTGCTATAATAGGTACATTTCCAATAAATAGAAATTTATATGCATACTTATTTGGCAACATTCGTCTCCTGTGAAAGCTAGTGTTTGGTTCTTCATACACATATACAGGCACATACACATACATGTATATACATATACATGCACAACACACATAAATTAACACCCAGTGTATATACGTATACTACAAAATTTTAGTGTTATTGATGCCAGAAAACAAAATCCTATTTGGAATGCGTTTAAGACTTTACAGTTATTTTCAAAAACAAAATTATGCACAGAGAAGGCAATAGTTTGGGTAACAGAACTCTCCAACAACTGAAGCTGTAAACACTGAGCAAAGAATCTATGAGACCAAGTAACAAATTAGCACACACTTCAGTCTCTTGAAATGAACAAAGAGAAGAAAGAGCCTCCTGAATCTCTCTACATTCCATCCTGGAAACCTCAATAGATTCTTCTGAAAGAGTAAACATGGTGTGTGGTTGCTCGTACATGCAAACATGCACGATCTTCTCTGTTTCTTTTTCTTATATCTTCTCAATTCCAAATTCTGCAATCACTGGAACAAGAAAAGCTGCCCCAGTGGGATTTCTGTCATGATTTGCTTTAGAAAGTACTCGAAACCACAGATGACCATTACTTGCCAAAATTTGAGTCAGGATTTGTTGACGCATAAGGTTCAAATAATTTGTATAAACATCCAAGCACTTAGACAGTATCCAAGATATTTCTTTTTCTTGGAAGAAAAAAAAATCATCTGTAAACTATCTTTTATTGTTTTATAATTGCCCCCTTATTTGTTACCCACATTTCATTTTAGATTGTAACTTTTTTGATGATAGGATATGATACCTAAGCAAGGCTGAGTTTATAATAGGTACTAGTTTGATAATACCTAGCTATATAAACATATTATGAAATAAATGTTATTTTCTTTGGAATGAGAATTTCTAACAAGGAGAGAGTTATATTTGCTGAAAGAATTGTTCAAATCCTCCAGATAGGTTGCAGAATCTCATGGGGCTATAGACTTTTATTTTCCTCATCATACTCAGGCTTGATAAAGTCCAGGGGAACTGCTATGCATGAGACCTAGGGACTAATGGTAGGAAGAAAATTTCCTAACAGAACTCCAGGGCCCTGGATGACAGAAAGTAGACACTTGAGTCAAGCCTTGACAAATAAATGAAATTGTTTAAAAAATAAGTTAAAAGAAAAATTAAGAAATTCTAAGTGAAGTCAGAGTGTTTATGGTATTTGTTAGGAATAGTAAAGTGATGAATTGTCCTAGAGTAGATAGCGTACATAGGGAGGAGAAGAAACTGTGCTTGGGAGGAGCCAGTTAGCAAAGATGTTAAAATCCAGGCACAGAAGTTTCCATATTTCCTGAAATATGATGGGTAACGAGGAATCAATAAAGTTTTTAAGTGGAACGGTCTGAAGAAAAGAGTAAGGATAGGAGATTAATCTAGCAATAATCTGCAGGATGCTTTGGGAAAGGGTGTGGAGACTGGATGGTCAAGGTGACCATTTCAAAGGCCACTGTAGAAATTCAGATTGCAAGCAATAAAGACTTAGGCTTTTGCTAATAAAGAAAACGTAAACTAGAAGACTGGAGTTCTGCTTCCAGGACTGGCCTTAAATGGAACTAAACGTATCCTCTTACTATAAAAAAGATTTTTAAAAAAACCCCAAACATCAAGAAGAAAAAACATTCAGTAAAATAAAACTCATGATTTTGTACAGTAGGCAACAGGCAGTGCAAGTGTAAGACTAAGATATATGAGAAAAGAAAAGTAATGAAGGTAATTCTATATCAACCTGGATTTCTGAAGTGACAATCTAGGACAATGGCTCTCAGAGTAAGATGAGAAGACAGAGATGAAAGTTTAGGAGGCCCCGGGCTGCTGGAATTTGCAACGTAAAGGACCAGAGAAGAGATAGTGACACAGAGAAAGAGATCTGTCTTAGTAGTTTCTAGAGCTCTCACAGAGCTGGCAAGTCCTTGAGACCCATAAGAAGCATGGCTTAGCAGGGCTAAACTAGCCCAGAATAAAGACTACCATCTTTATTAATAAATCGGAAAAACCATCTTCAGAAGGTTCAAACTAAGCCAAATATAACTGACAGAAGAAAGTCTAATACTTTTGAAAGAAGACAACATAATCTAGCACACAACAACATAAAATTCACTATGTCCAGTGCTCAATTAAAAACAGCTCAACAATTGAATTAGTATAGCCATTATGGAAAACAGCAGGAAGAATCCAGAAAAACTTACAAATAGAACTACCATAGGATCCAAAAATCCCACTACTGGTTATATACCCAAAAGAAGTGAAGTCACTATGTCAAAGAGAAATCTGCACTCCCATCTTATTGCAGCACTATTTACAACAGCCAAGATATGGAATCCAGCTAAGTGTACCTCAACAGAAAAATGGATAAGAAAACATGGTCTATTTATCTATCTAGACACAATGGAATGACATGCAGTCTTAAAAAAGAAGGAAATTTTGTCATTTGTGACAACATGAATAAACCTGGATGACATTATGCTAAATGAAATAAGCCAGGCATAAAAAGATAAATAACATATACTCTCACTTATATGTAGAATCTAAAAAAGTTGATCTTATAGAAGCAGAAAGTAGATTAACGGTCACTAGGATATGGGGGGAATGAGAGGGAGTAGAGGGATAGATGTTACTCAAAGGATATAAAATTTCATTTAGACAGGAGAAATAAGTTCAAGAGATATATTGTGCAACATGGTGCAATTAATAATTTTTTGTTAACTATAACAAAATATTGTATTCTTGAAAACTGCTAAAAGAATGGATGTTAGGTGTTCACACCACAAAAATAATAACTATTTGAGGCAATGCGTATGTTAATTAGCTAGGTTTAGTCATTACACAATCTATATATCCTTCCAAACATTGTATTGTACATGATATATATAATCTTATCTGTCAATTAAAAATTAAATATTAAGAAAAAATAGCTTAAAAAGAAAAAAGACTAAAAAATTTGGCCACAATCATGAGAAAAGCCATTCAATAAAACACCCACAGATAACATGGTGTTAGAATAATCAGACAAGGTTATTAAAAGAGTTTTCACAAATATGCTAAAGGTTTAAAGTAAAATACGACGATAATGAGAGAAATGGAAGATGTGAAAAAACTAAGTGGTAATTCTAGAGATGAAAATACAATAGCTAAAATGAAACTAAATAAATGAATGGGATTAACAGCAGATTAGATACTTCAGAAGAAAAATCAATGAACTTAAATAATAATGTAAATTAAACTGAAGCACACAGAAGGAAAAAATGAAAAAATGAATCAGCAGCTCTTCAGTGACCTATGGTACAATATTAAGAGTGCTAACATGCATGTAACCAAGCCCAAAAGGAAGGAGAGGGTCCATCTGAAAAACTAATGCCAAAAATTTTTTCAAATGTTCATTCCCAGACAGGATAAATGCAAAGACGACCGCACTAGGTCATATTATAATCAAAATTTTGAAATAATTGGTAAAGAAAAAAATCTTACTAGAGGAAAAAGACACAAATAGAAAAGAGCATATGCAAGAATTATCTCAGGATCCTCATTTGAA
This sequence comes from Homo sapiens, assembly GCF_000001405.40. Classification (NCBI taxonomy): domain Eukaryota; kingdom Metazoa; phylum Chordata; class Mammalia; order Primates; family Hominidae; genus Homo; species Homo sapiens. Next base: position 72,008,210 of record NC_000013.11, read on the forward strand.
ACTGTGTGGCCAGGAAAACAATGGAACAACATCTTTTATTATTATTATTATTATTATTATTATTATACTTTCAATTCTAGGGTGCATGCGAACAACGTGTAGGTTTGTTACATATGTATACATGTGCCATGTTGGTGTGCTGCACCCATTAACTCATCATTTACATTAGGTATATCTCCTAATTCTATATCTCTCCCCTCCCCCCACCCCATGACAGGACACGGTGTGTGATGTTCCCCATCCTGTGTCCAAGTGTTCTCACTGGAACAACATCTTAAAGCGCTCAAAGGAAGATTGGGAGTGCAAATCCCAGGAAAAATATAATTATATTTTTCTATATATAGAAAAAATTCCATCAAATATCATCATGAATAATTCATCTAATCATGGGAAAAACAGCACAAACCCACAGACCAGAGGAGACTGCTAAGACATGACAACTAAATGCAATATGGTAACCTGGATTGAATCCTCAAACAGAAAGAGACATGTACAAATTTTATTTACTATTAATATACAAACATCATGTTTGTTAGTTTTGACAAATGTACCATGGAAATATTAGACTTTAACAGTGGAGGATACTGAATAAGAAATATATGGGAACTCTCTTCACTATCTTCTCAGCTTTCACATGCAACAAAAATTATCCCCAAATATGTGTTATTTAAATAAATAATGGTGAAATAAAGACTTTCTTGGCTGTAAGCGAATAGAAACTGAAAATTCATTGCTAGTGAAAGATATCACCTTCTTAGCCATCCAAAAATGTTAAATAAAGCTCTTTAAGCTGAAGAAAATTATGGAAATTTGTGTCTACACAAAGGAATGAAGAGTACCTGATGTTAAATATGTAGATAAATATGTATATATATGTATTTTCACTTAAAAATTTCTATAAATATTTTCACTGCCTAATGAAAAATTTAAAAAATTCAGTTTATATATATATGTATATGTATATGTATAAATAGTTGGCTAGCCATATGCCGAAGACTGAAACTGGACCTCTACCTTTCACCATATACATATATATTGTATCTATGTAATATATAGTATGTGTGTACATATGTATAATGCTTGTGCATATGTGTGTAAAATGTATAGAAACAATAGCACAGAGAATGAGGAGAGACGTGGAAGTGTAAGGCAGACTATGGTAAGCTAAATATGCATAGTGTGAATGCTAGTGCCACCACAAACACAGAGATAAAAACCAAGGAGATAGAGCTAAGAAGCCAATAGTGGAGATAAAGTGGACTACTAAAAAATAACTCAAAAGAAGGTAGATATATTATGACACAGAAAGAAGGCTCTCACCAAATGCAGTGCTTCACTTTTGGACTTCCCATCCTCTGGGATCATGAGCTAAATAAACTTCTTTTCTTTATAAGTTAAAAAAAAGACAGGTTTAAAAAAGACAAGAGGAAGAAAAAAATAACATATAGAAAGTAAATAGCAAGACTGTATTGAAAATAGCATTAAATATAAATGGCCTGCATAATCCTATTTTAAAAAGTAGTCCATAAAAGGAAGTCTCAACTAAATGTTTTTGTCTACCATGTAAACACTTTGAATATAAAACACAAATAGTTTTAAAACAGAAAGGATAGAAAAAAGAGATACCATGCAAAAGCTAACAGAAAAGACTGATGTGGTTATATTAATATGAGACAAATTATACTTCTAAAATTACTATACAAGAAATATTACCTAGACCAAAATCACACATTTTATAACAATAAAGAAATCAACTCATAAAAAAGAAATAACAATCCTAAATATGTATACATTTAATTACAGAGCTTCGAAAACAAAATTAACCAAAAATTTAAGATACATTGTTATACAAAGACTTTTATATGAATGTAAGCATTATTTATAATAGCCCTAAACTGGAAAAAAAAAATAAACAGGTGAATGGATCAGCACATCTGATATATCCGGATATTGGAATACTACTTGGCAATAAAAAAGAAAGAACTGCCAATAAATGCAACCACATGGATAAATCTATAATACATTATGCTTAGTAAAAGACTACAGGTACAAAAAAGCACATACTGTATGACTCAATTTATATGAAATTCTTGAAAAAGCAAACGTCATCTATAATGATGGAAAGAAGATTTGCCTATTTTGGGGTTTGTGGGAGGAATAAACTGCAAAGTGCCATGGGACCTTTTTGGGCCAATGAAAATTGTATATCATTTGATTGTGGTGGTAGTTACATGAACATGTAAATTTGTCAAAATAATACACTTAAAATGGGTATGTTTTATGGTATATATAATTTATTATTGAACAAAGTTAATTATGTAATAATGAGAACAATAAACAATCCATTCCTCCCCAGATATCCTTAATTGAAGAGATATTTTAAAGAAAAATAATGATGAAACATAACACATGATAAAATGTGATAACAGAAGTTCAGAAATAGGAAATTTGGGAAAGGAAACTTGGGTTGATAGAAATAAGGTGACAAATTATAAAAATAGGTTGCATTTGAAAAATAAATGCAATACCTAAGAATACATCTAACCAAAGAGGTGAAAGATGTCTATAATAAAAATTACAAAACACTGCTGAAATAAATAGATCACAGATGACACAAACAAATGGATAAACATTCCATGCTCATGGACTGAAATAATCAATATTCTTAAAATGCCCATAGTGCCCAAAGCAATCTACAGATTCAACCCTATTCCTATCAAAATATCAATGTAATTTTTCACAGAATTAGAAAAAACTATTCTAAAATTCAAACAGATCCAAGAAAACAGCCTGAATAGCCAAAGCAATTCTAAGCAAAAAGAAGAAACCTGGAGGCATCACATTATCTGACTTCAAACTATACTATAAGGCTACAGTAACCAAAACAGCATGTTACTGGTACAAAAATAGACACACAGACCAATGGAGCAGAAGAGAGAACCCAGAAATAAAGGAACACACCTAAAGCCATCTGTTCTTTGAAAAATTTACATAAATAAGCAATGGTGAAATGACTCCCTATTGAATAAATGGTGGTGGAATAGTTGGCTAGCCATATGCACAAGAATAAAACTAGACCTCTATCTTCACCATATACAAAAATTAACTCAAGATGGATCAAAGATTTAAATGTAAGAGCTCAAACTATAAGAATCCTAGAAGAAAATCTAGGAAACACCATTCTGGACATCGGCCTTGTGAAAGAACTTTTAATTAAGTCCAAAAAAGCAATTGCAACAAAAACAAAAATTAACAAGTGGGACCTAATTAAAAAGCTTCTGCACAGCAAAAGAAACTACAACAGAACAAGCATAACCTACAGAATGGGAGAAAATATTCACACATCATGCACCTGACAAAGGTCTAATAGCCAGAATCTGTAAGGAACTTGAACAGTTGAACAAGCAATTGAACAAGCAAAAAACAAATAACCTCATTAAAAAATAGGCAAAAGACATAAATAGATACTTCCCAATAGAAGACATATGACCAAAGCGGGCAGATCATGAGGTCAAGAGATGGAAACCATCCTGGCTAACACAGTGAAACCTCATCTCTACTAAAAATACAAAAAATTAGTTGGGCGTGGTGGCACATGCCTGTAGTACCAGCTACTCGGGAGGCTGAGGCAGGAGAATCGCTTGAACCTGGAAGGCGGAGGTTGCAGTGAGCCGATATCATGCCACTGCACCACTCCAGCCTGGGCGACAGAGCAAGACTCTGTCTCAAAGGAAAAAAAGAAGATGTAAGACATACAAGTGGACAACAAACATGTAAAAACAATGGTCCATATCACTAATCATCAGAGAAATGCAATTCAAAACCACAATGACATATCTCATACCAGTCAGAACGGCTATAATGAAAACGTAAAAAAATAACAGATGCTGGCGAGGCTGCAGAGAAAAGGGAGTGCTTATGCACTGTTAGTGGGAATGTAAATTAGGTCAGCCCCTGTGAAAGCAATTTGGAGATTTTTCAAATAACTTAAAACAGAACTGTCATTTGACAGAGCAAAAGCCATTACTGGGTATATATCCAAAAGAAAATAAGTTGTTCTACCAAAAAGGCACATGCACTCATATGTTTATCACAGTACTATTCACAATAGCAAAGACATGGAATCAACCTAGGTGCCCATTAACAGGGTATTGGATGAAGAAAATGTGGTATATATACACTGTGGAATACTGTGAAGCCATTAAAGAATGAAATATATCCTTTGCAGCAACATGGGCTGCTGGAGGTCATAATGCAAAGCAAATTAACACAGAAACAAAAAGCAAATACTGCATGTTTCCACTTATAAGTAGGAGCTAAACATTGGTATTCATCTACATAGAGATGGCAACAATAGACACTGGGAACTACTAGAGGGGCTAGGGAGAGAGGGGGGCAAGGATTGATAAACTACTTGTGGGATACTATGCTCAACAATTCGTGACAGGATCAATCAAACCCCAATTCTCAGCATCATGCAATATACTCGTGTAACGAACCTGCACATCTACCCCATGAATCTAAAATAAAAGTTGAAAGTATTTTTGAAAATCTTTCATTCACTGACAGGAAACAGTAATGATGAATAGTTCAGAAAAAAATAGACTGCATTTTTCTGAAAAAGTGTAAAAAGTACATATCACTACATAACCAATCAAACAAATGACAAAGTTCCCTCTGGGCTGTGCAAAATTTCAGTACAAACTCCTCTACCTGTAGCAATGGTCAAAGAAAAAGGAAATATACATGGCATCCTGGAACTCTGAAAATTCCAATATAAGTCCTGAGTTAACAAAGAAAATTAAAATTTAATATTATTTTTACTGACTTTTTTAATGTTTAAGGACTGATAATTCATGCAATAATTTATACTGAAACATTTTACAAATCAGAATTTATAGGAGAAAGCTCCCATACCAATGCAATAGAAATGAAAAGTACATATGTCAATAATAAAACAGTTACGGTGTATAACAAAATAATGATGAATATCATTTTCATACACATGTAACCTTAATTTCTAATCCTCCCAACAGAATGGCAATGTCAATATTATTGTCCTTATTTTAGAAAGGAAAAAAGCTAAAAGTGAGAAAAGTGTACAGGCTGAAATGAAGGAAAGTGTATGTTTGCCAATGATCTCATCACCAATAAGGATTAAATCCTTAGCCTTGATTGCCTTTTCTCACTGAGTCTGACAGATTGAAGTTCACCTTTTCTAGGAACTTTTATCAGAAACCTCTGGCAAAGTTATTCACTCTCATTTGTATCCCCAAAATATTTTGGGCACAGTTTTATCAGTTAGCTTTTACTATTCATATGCCTAAGTCTTTTTAACAGACACTGCTCCTTAAAGGGGGTTATTAGGTCTCAGCCATTCATTATATTCACAGCAGGCAACAGTTTCTGGTACATATTTAGTAAACAATAAATGGCATATTTAGTAATGAATTACCAAACTACATATAAAAGTAAACATTCAGGAATGTAAGACGGATGTTTATTTACTGTATACAAAATGATATTAAAGAAGAAAACTACATGTCACACCAACCATCATAGTTCTTGAAACAGAGTTACAGTCAATAATATTTGCTGAACTAATGTCTAACACAGCATTCTTTAATACTGAAGCAGACATAGCTCCATAACTCACTAACTCCTGACTCAGGAATTAAAAAACACACAAAATAATTTGATATTCACAGTAATAGGGAAGTCATCTTCTTCACATTTGAATAGACCCTGCATTTCCACAAAACATTTAAAACAAGAAGTTCACTTAGAGGCAAGCAGTTTCATTTTATACCTAAGAATGAATGAGTCCCAAGGGAATAAATTATTTGTAAAAGAATGCATCAGTTTGAGTTCTGATTCCAATCATAACTGAGTAAATGGTACTAGACTAGCTCTCTGTTAGTAAATAAATAGAGAAATGGAAAATATAGAAAATAAGATTATTAAGGTTTGGATTATAGGCATTATAGAACTTTGGTTTGTGACAGAAGGAAAACAAACAACATAAGTCCCACAAACATCTTTTTCTCTGTCTGGGCACAATTTTCCAGCTGTAGAAAGAGAACAACAGCCAGGGAAAAGATAGTAGTCCCATGGAGCTCAGAAGGTAGAGATCAGAGTACAGAGCTGATGAAGCAGCTGAAATCTGTAGGGAAGAGCATTTGAGAGAAAGTAGCTGAACAGAGAGAAACAGAAGTCCAATACGGGAGTCTCCTGTGAGCCTGTGTCTGATGGCTGGGCTGTATGTGAGCAGGGAAAACTTCTGAAAGTTACTGGATAGCTGCTTCTGTGAAGTTGAGAGTGGAATGAAGATATCAAAAACCGAGCTGTGCTGAGATACAAGCAACTCTGATGCTCAATTCCTGTCAGAGTAGAGAGATAATATTAACATTTTATTAACAAATCTGGCATCCAGCTGAGATATCAATAAAATTCTGCCTTAGAAGTAAGAACCACATTCAAGAAGGGCTACTCTAAACCCACATTAATGAAGTTTAAAACCATACCCTAACAAGTTCCAGAAGTTTAGAGGTTGAGCCCTGCCAAGTTAGAGAAGCTTGAGAAGAAATGTGAACTTTCCACTTGATACTAATAAAGTTTAAAACAAAGCCAACATAAAATCAAAATGATCATGCAGTAATTGAACTGTCTGGTGAATAATAGAAGATAGAAAAATTCAGATCTCAACAGGCTATCATTCAGAATGGCAAATATTAAATGAAAAATCACTAGATATGAAGACACCAGAAGATATAATCCATGGTGATATAAAACTCAATCAATAGAAACTAAACCCAAGATGGCCCAGGGGCTGGACTTAGCAGATAATGGCTATAAAGCAGCTATTATAAATATGCTCAAAATATTAAAGGAAAGATAATCTTAATGAATGAAGAGTCAGGAAATCTCAGGAGAGAAAGAGAAATTATTCTTTAAAACAGTGGAAATTCTAGACTGTAAAATACAATAACTAAAATACAAAATTCACTGGATAGACATAACAATTTATTGAAGTTGACAGAAAAAATAATTGATGAATTTTAAGACAGATTAATATAAATTGCCCAATCTGAACCAAAAAGATAAAAATACTGAAGTAAAAATAAATGCAGAGTCTTTGCAACCTATAGGAAAACGTTAACATTTGGGTAGTTAAATCCTAGAAGAGAAGGGTGTGATGTGGAGCCACAGAAATAACTCTGGAGCAATAATTTGTTAGTAACTTTCCAAATATGATGAAACCCTGAATTACAGACCCAAGTCCAATAACCTTTTATATAAATGTGAAAAGATGGAGTCCCGCTCTGTCACTCAGGCTGGAGTACAGTGGCGCTATCTCAGCTCACTGCAAACTCCGCCTCTTGGGTTCAAGCAATTCTTTGCCTCAGCCTCTCAAAGAGCTGGGATTATAGGCACCCACCACCATGCCCAGTTAATTTTTGTATATTTAGTAGAGACAAGGTTTCATCACCTTGGCCAGGCTGGTCTTGAACTCCTGACCTCATGATCCATCCACCCCAGCCTCCCAAAGTGCTAGGATTATAGGCATGAGCCACCGCGCCTGGGCAACAGTTAGGTTTTCAACTCTTGCCCCCTCCTTACCTCCCTCATCTGGTAGTCCCCAGTGTCTATCTTTGCCACCTTTATGTCCATGAGTACCGATTGAACAACTTTCAAAATGCAATAAGATAACACATAATACCAATTGAAATGGCTAACATTAATGTTGAACAGCAACCAATATTGGTCAGGATGTGAAATAATTGGAATTCTCATATACTGCTGGTAGAAGCGTAAAATGCTATAATTACTTTAGAAAAAAAGTGTGTATCTTTCTGTGGAATGAAATATACATTTATTTCATGACCCAATTTTAGTCTTAGGTACTTCAAAGAAACCAAAACATGTCTCCAAAATGGTGTAGATGTGAATGTTTGTAGAAGCTTTATTAGTTGTTGCAAAACCTGGAAACAGCTCAAAGGTACCCCAATAGAAGACTGATTAACAAATTATGGCATGTGAATATCATGGAATACTATTGAGTAATTCTCAAAAACCAACCAGTCATCCAACCGGCAAACCAAAAGTGAATGCATGCAATAACCTAGAAGCAACTTAGTAACTGAATGCCGAGACAAATAAGCCAGACAAAAACACTGTAGATTGTATGATTCTATTAAGGTGAAGTTTAAAAATAATAGACTTAATCTCTGGTGATAGAAATAGATCAGAAGTTGCCTATATGTGTGGGGACTAACTAAGAAGAAGGAATATAATTTCCTGGGGTGATTTGCAAATATCTCAATTGGAGTGTTGATTACAGAGATATGTACATTTGTCAAAACATATAACAGTTTATCTCTAGGATCTATGCATTTCACTGTGTATATATATATATTTTATCTCAAAAACTGCTCATAGAACATTATTTAGGCAAGATCATCAAGGGCCTAAAACTATTAGAAATGGTAAAAACAATCCCATTTACTGAAATATTACAGCATGATTAAGAAAAGGGATTAAGTTCAGGGTCAGACTTACAGTATGATGTGCTGATATTTGGAAGCCTTAAAGACTGTGCTACTTTTTCTCTTTACCACACTCCCATGCTCCCTTGAAACCCCAACTCTCCTTCAGCAGTAAATAGGGCATTCCTTATTAGACCAGAAAACATGATTACAATTCTATGCTTTTTGTTTTTAGTTTATGTTCACATTTTTAATTGCAAAGCAGGCATTACAGCTCCTGGGAGAGACAATAAGCTTGGAAGTCGATTTTTCAATTTAAAAGAGTGACGATTCAAGTGTTTCAAAAGATAAATTCCCAAAGGTCTCAGGATATAAAGATTATGTTCCAAATACGAGGTTTGAGAGAATGGAGAAAGATGTAAAATGAGCTTGTTTTAGGATAAAACTGCTTTGGGAAGGATGAAAAGGAGATGAAGAAAGAGTCGAAAAGAAGGGTAATGGCGAAGTTTTGGAATCCTTCCTCTACCTCTCTCTCTGCTGTCCTACGTCCCATTTCCCTATGAATAACAAAGGTGTGGATAAATCACCCCAGTTTCACACATCATAGTATCAAAGATTAGAGGGGAGATGGCTGTTTTGAGTTATCAAGAAAAGACTTCTGGAAATAATGAAGTCTGTGCTGGCTTATGTAAATGCAGCTTGGGACTTGGAGCCTTGATCTACCCAGTCTCGTAAAAGGTACTCAGGACAATCCTTTTTTGTTCTTTTTCAACTTTTATTTTAGATTCAGGGTACATGTGCAGGTTTGTTACTTGAGTATATTGCATGATGCTGAGGTTTGGGGTACAAATAATCTCATAACCCAGGTATTGAACATAGTACCCCACAGTCAGGTACTCAGGACAGTCCTGGAGTTGCTACTATTATACCTGGAGAGCAAGTAGGTACCAAAAAAAAAAAAAGAAAGAAAAAAAGAAAAAAATTAAACTTCCTGAGACTAACAGAAGGTTCTTAAAGGAACTTGGAACTTAAGGGTTTTACTGTGAGTACTCGAAGGCTAGAGTAGTTTGCCCCTTTGACTATGAATACTTGTTCTGAGTAGCCATCTTCAAGCAATTTGGTTCCTTTCATAATAAATTTGGTTCCTTTCATAATAAATTTGGTTCCCTTCATAATAAGTGAACTGATACTAAAGGAAATTTTATTGTTTGCTGATGTCACATGTCTATTACCTCAGCTATAAATATACAAAATAGCTAGACCTAATGGATGAAAGCTGTCATTGATTCACAAGTCCTCAAAAAGCACAGGCTACAGTGAAAGTTTTTTTCCATGGCACACCTAAATGTACTTTTTGGCTGATAATAAAGGATGCCAAGCACATCGGGCATAGACTTTGTGCCTGGAAGCAGTGGGACAGTGTGGTACCCAGAATTCAACGTAGTCCCCCAAGATTTTCAACCCTTACCCTCATAACTGTTAATATGACATATCATGCCCATGGTTATGCTACCTTACATGGAAAAAGGAATTTTACAGATGTAAATAAGGTCATTAATCAATTTACCCAATGCTAATCAAAAGGGACATTATCCAGTTGGGCCTAATCTAATCATGAGCTTTTTGAAAGTAGAGAATTTTTTTCAGCTGGTAGCAGAGAGTACATCAGAGAGACTAGAAACACAAACAGTGCACTCATGTTAGCTTGAAGGTGGATGAGGCCACATGCAAAGACTCAAGGGTGACTCTAGGAGCTGAGAGTGGCCCCTGGCCTACAGCCAGCAAGGAAACAGAGACCTAACTCCCCCAAATGTAACAAACTAGATTCTGCTGACAACTTACCTGAGTGTAGCAGTGGATTTTTTTCAGAGCCTCCAGATAAATGAGCCTCCAGAATGAGCCTCCAGCCCATTCTGACTATTACCTTGATTTTGGCCTCATGAGAACCCAGGTGAGCTCATCTGGATTTCTGATCTACACAATTGTATAGATCACAATTGTGATCTACATCTAAATGAACGTAGTTTAAAGCAGCCAAGTTTGTGATAATTTATTACACAGCAATAGAAAACTAATAGAGAGATGTAAGGGAAATGGCTGTGCTTTAGTCAGGAGTAGGCAGAGGTGGCCTTCCGGTGAGGCATGCCTCACTGGGTTTGAAGCACAGGTGCCCAACCCCATACATTTTGTAACCACACCATGTGAGGCACATTAGGTGATCACACACATGAGCTCGTGCTTGGCTCAAGCCACTATTATCTATAAAACATATAGTTACCCTGCTAAAGCTGTACATATGGCTGATGCCCAGTCTCACTCACACCCAGATAGTGAGTAAACCCATATTGAAACTGTCTGCGATTCCTCCAGTGTTTTTCCAGCTACTCGCCACTTGCTCACCGACTCCCCTCAGACCTGTTAGAACCTGACAATTGGCATCACGAACAGGATCCCGAGCTGTTGCAGGTGGACAGGCAGTTGGCACAAGGGCAAGGTAACCACACCCTGATTGAATGGCTTTGGGCAGCCATACGGACTGTATGGAACCACATCTGTGAAATACCCAAAACCGTGAGTAAATGGCAATCTTATGCCAATTTGGTGCAAGTCATCCAGGAGATGGGTATGCGGCAGGCTATGTTTGACTTGAATACCTGGGAGCCAGATGATCAACATTTCACCTCCCACATGAGGGGTCTCGTGTTGTGTTCTGCACCCCTGAGCTCCTTTGGCTCCCTAGCTGCTGTCCTCACAACCACATGTAGGGTGCCACATACCTGAAGTGACCATTGCCATGGCAACTGTTGGGGAAACAGAAAACCACCTGCGGGACAGAGGGATCTGCACCATAAAGAAAGGGAAGATGCCCCACCCACAGGGGCCCTCCTATGGGAGAAAACGGGGCCCCAACGAGTGACATGTTCAAAGATGTGGATAGATTTGATTTTGGCCAGGGTTGACCGACAGAAAATTGCTAAGCAGCCCAATGACATTCTCTTAACTTTGTGGAGACAGTTGTCTCTGGAGCAGCAATGCCAGAAAATGCCCAAGGGGGAGAAGGACATTGCTGCATGACTGGTCCCACCCGGGCACTTCAGCTCAAAAATCACTTGTTGCAGCCAGGCAGAAATGTAGAGCCTTTTCTGTTTGATTAGGGAACTGGCCGAGGTGCCTGGTTTGGGGGGACACCAGACAAACAGAGGCCACATGTGTAGTTAGTGATCCACTGGTCTCCCACCAATGTACAGCAAGTGCTGGTGCTGGTGGATACTGGCACAGATTGCAGCATTGTTTATGGGAACCCGTATAAGTTCCCGGGGAAACCTGCTTACATTGACAGTTATGGAGCCTGGTCAGTGAAATTAAACCTGTATCTCTGCACCTTGGCATTGGCCATGTGGCTCCCCATTTATATACTGTGCATGTTTCTCCCATACCGGGATACATTCGGGGGATGCACATTTTACATGACTTGGCATTACAAACCACAGCTGGGGAATTCAGACTCCGAGTGCATGTGGTGAAGGTGCTGCGCGGACATACACGTCACCAGCCTCAGGTCCTGCCACAACCCTGATGGGTTTCTTCCACCAATCAATACCATTTGCCAGGTGGGCATACAGAGATAACTGAGACAATTAAAAAGCTGTAAGAGATGTAGATAGTGTGTGGCACCCACAGCCCCTACAATTCTCCAGTGTGGCCAGTTAAAAAGCCTGATGGAACTTGGCGAATGATGGTGGACTATTGGGAACTGAATAAAGTAACGCCCCTTTGCCTGCAGCTGTACCATCAATCATGGATTTGATGGACCATTTCATGATGGAACTGGGACAGTACCACTGTGTAGTGGACTTGGCCAGTGCATTTTTCTCCATAGACATCACTCGAGAGAGCCAGAAAGTTTGCCTTCATGTGGGATGGGGAACAACGGACTTCTACAGTGTTGCCGCAGATAGCCCCACCATATGTCGTGGTCTAGTTGCTACAGATTTAGCCATTTGGCAATGTCCAGAAGGGGTCCACCTATTCCATTATTTGATGATATTGCACTTGAGAATACCAGTAGGCTTTTAGTCCTAACTGTGGAAGGGAGCTGAGCTCCAGTATTCCTTGATAGAGAAACCACTAGCAGCTGTATATCCCACCCTTCGGGTTTGTGAGTGTGACAGGACAGGCTGCAGTCGTGGCGTGGACGACTTACCCAATAGCAGGATAGATGCATTCATGGGTAATGACCCCCTGGACTGGGACAGCACAGATATCCACTTTGGCAAAGTGGGGTGCCTACTTGGAACAGCAGAGTATGCTGAGTACAAGTCCCTTAGCAGCACAGTTGCAAGAGGTCTTGGGACCTGTATTCCTAATGGAAGGTAAGGCCATGGGCCTTATCTAGACCCTGAACCTGGACCCTGAGCCTTCGCCATTTAAGGAAGGGCATCCACCCATTCCTGAGAGACACAGTTCACAGATGGGTCTAGCTGAGGTGCTACTGCTGCCTGAACCACTGTTGCAGTCCAACCTAGTACTGACATCATGTGGTTTGAAACTGGGTGTGGACAAAGAACCAATGGGCTGAACTTAGAGCAGTATAGATGGTGATCACCAAGGAGGTGACACCTATGGTAATCTGTACCAATAGCTGGGCAGTCTATTGAGGCTTAACCTTGTGGTGAACTACCTGAAAAATACAGAAGTGGCAAGTTGGCCACCGACCCATTTGGGGCCAAGCCATGTGGCAAGACCTCTGAGAAATGGGTCTTCAGAAAGAGGTAACTATTTATCATGTGCCAGGCCATATGCCTTTGGCCACCCCTGGCAATGATGAGGCAGATTCCTTGGCCAAGATCCAATAGTTAGAGTTAGCACCTACATGAGATGTGGCCTTGTGGCTGCAATGGAAACTGGGACATGCATGGGGTAAACTGATGCAACAGGTCAATAAGCGTTGGGGTCTGTCCCTGCCCAAGCAAGACATTTGGTAGCCTTTTCAGAAATGCCCGGTGTGTGCTCAGGCATACCCTAAATGGAGGCAGTTGCCCAGTGTTACACAGCAAGTAACGATAGGGTGCGTGCCCTTGACCAGGTGGCGGGTAGACTACGTCGTGCTGCTGCCAAAGTCATAAGGTTATATGCATGCACTGATGGCTGTGGACATGGCCACAGGCCTGTTGTTCGCTTACCCTTGCAGGGTGGCCGATCAACAGAACACCATCAGGGCCCTGCAACAAGCCTTACTTGCCCTGTATGGTCACCCTCTGGCCACTGAGAGTAATAGGGGAACACATTTCACTGGACAACAGGTGCCACAATGGGCACCACAAATGGACACAAAGTGGGAATTCCATGTGCCATATAGCCCTCAAGCTCTGGGTATGATTGAGTGATATAATGGGCTCTTGTTAGGCTTGCATGTCACACCCTCAGCTTTGCAGGGCTGGAGTTCCATACTGCACCTGGTGCTCCAAACCTTGAATAAATGGCCATGGAAAGGCGGCTGAGCCCTGGTGGTGGCTTTGTTATACCGGCCACTGTCCCCATTCAGTGGCAGACACATGCCAAGGATGACCTCCTCCAACCAGGTATGAGCATAAACGGTAACCTGTTGTTGCCTGCCCCAGTGCCCCTGAAGGCAGGGGAACAGAAAACCTGGCTGTGGCCACGGACCCTCCAAGGCCCCCACTGCCAGTGGTTGGCCATAGTGGCTCCCTGAGGGGAGGGCCTATGGTAGGACTTGCATGTCACTCCGTGGGTGTTCAATACATGGCCCCCATGGTTGACTGTTCATAGGGGAACAGTCAGGGAGGGAACCCTCCTCTGTGGGACATATGTACTGTCTGTATGGCCTATTATGAGCTCCCCACCCCCCACCCCTGACTTTGGCATGGATACAGGACTCAAAGGAACCACGGGGAGCTGAGAAGGTGTGGTACCATCGCCCAAGGCAAAAGACCTTGGTGTCAGGATTGTTATCCAGGGATGAAAGGTTAGCCTGTATTTTGCCTGAGGGACTTGATTTACCTCTGTTAGTACCTGTGCCTGCTCTGTCATTTCGACCATAGGCAAACATGCTCCAACTGCATTGTGGACTGGGTCCACACCTACACTGAGGTGACTAATGTTTCTAACTGTTGGATCTGCATTGACCTTCCAGCAGCAGCCGTAGACAGCTTGCCTTGGCACATACATTCAGCATCTGCAGAGAACTGGATGTGGCTGGAGACTTGGGGTGCCATGGCCAAAGCATGGAACGCAACATGGCAAGCTTTGAACAAAAGACGCCACAAAACCCACAGTGCGCCAGCCCCCAGCATTTATTATGGGTGGGGCTGGCTAGTGGGAGAACATGTAGTACCCCCAGCCCAGGCACTGCGGTACATAGAGCAACATTGGAGTAACGCAACTGTAGGATGGGTACCCGTCATGGCCTGTGTAAACATAACACATGTCACCACATAGAAGGTATGGTGGATCAAGTGGCCCCACCAGTCAGACCCTGATGGATTTTGTGCCTCCTGGTTGTTTATGGGTCTGTGGGGACACAGGGTGGCCTTACCTCCCAGTGGACTGGACTACACGTTGTACCTGGGGGTGACCTTACCTCCCAGTGGACTGGACTACACGTTGTACCTGGGGGTGACCTTATGTACCTGCCACTCTTCTCCCCACCTTGACCAGACACCTGCGTAACCAGGAGGAGCTGTGCTCTCAGTTTTCGTGAGTGTGATGAGCTCACTGGTGGTTCTACCCCTTGGCAATGACTACCCCTGGAGTCGGTGTCATACTATATAAGCACAAGTTACTGCTCTTGCAGTGCACACCGCTTGGGGTCTGAATTACACCCGAGTGGCCCTCCTCCTGTTAACGGATGAGGTTCATTAGATCAGAAAGGTGGTGCAAAACCAAAGGGCCTTAGACATAATAACTGCTGCCCAAGGAGCAGTTATTTTAGGAACTTCACTCTTTTAGGAATACAATGTTGTACCTTTATCCCTGACAATCAGCAGAACATAACAGCAGCCCTACAAGGGGTCTCATGGGAGATTAAGGTGGTTGAGAGCCTTACTGATGACACCCTGCAGAGATGGTGGGCATCCCTGGGCTCTGGCATATGCTAAGCCCTAATAGTCATAAGTAGCATAGCTGGGATCCTAGGAGTGAGCTGTTGCCTCTGTATTGTTGTTGTTGGTTATGGATTCAGGGCTCTGCACTATGGACAAGTGTCCCTACTCGGAAGATGCCCTCAGCCTAGTAGGTGGAGTGTAGGGGAAATGGCTGCACTTTAGTCAGGAGTAGGTCAAAATGGCCTTCCAGCACAGCATGACTCAGTGGGTTTGGAGCACAGGCACCCAACCCCGCACACTATGTAACCACACCACGGGAGGTACATTAGGTGATCACCCATGTGAGCTCTTGCTTGGCTCGGAACCACTATTGTCTGTAAAAGGTATAATTATCCTGCTAACGCTGTACATATGGCTCATGCCCAGGCTCACTCACACTCAGAGAGACAGAGTAAAGCCATGTCAAAACTGTCTATGATTCCTTGAGTGTTTTTCCAGCTATCTGCTGCTCGCCAACTGACTCCCCTTGGACCTCAGTTAGAACCTGACAAGAGAGTTCAGCAGATGCAAATGTAGAAAGATAACTTTAGTAAGCTTTGATTCTATGAAAACCCTTGGAACTTCAATGCAAATATGAAGGGAAGTGAGGTTGGAGAAAATCCCAGTTACAGGTGAAACAAAATAACAAAGGAACAGACCCTAGACTTACTGTTTACTTGGAATTGATTGAATTAATATTTCCACCACAGAGCAGAATGGCGTTTGAAATAAACATTGACTTGAGTTCAGAAAAATAAAGCACCCAGTTAATGCAAGGGGCTCTTTTCACATTATACTGCTTTTTAGACGTAGCTACTTCATATCTCACATGGGAATAATAATAGTCACCTTGCAGTTTGGTGTAAGGATTAGAAAGAATGAATGTGAAGGGTCTGGCACAACACCTAGCTGAGACGCAATGGTAGACTAATAGTTATTATTAACACTAATAGTTAAACAAAATCTAAACAATGTCATATAAAAGCACATCTTAAAGTTCCTTTCTGCTCACTGTATATGAAATGTCTTACATTTTCATTTTTGGCTATTTCACTTCAGTAAATGAAAGTAAAATAGAAATCAATCTGTTCCTAGGGACTTATGATTATCTCATCCATGGCAGAAAAGTAGAAATCACAATGAGCATATTTAGACTTAAATATTGACTTTCAAGCCTGGTTTATAATAATTTATACTGGTCGGTACAACTTAACCACATACACATTTTGGTTTCCAAGTAAACCATGTCAATGAATTTGAAGAGGGTCACTACTGTAATCGGCACTTGCTAACAGGGAGATAAATTGGGGAAGAAGAGGTAGGGGTGCCTCTCCTTCGCCTCTGAAATCACATTGATCTACCTGTTGGATTGAAGAGGGATCAGAGGAGATGGATGCTTCAGGGCCTGGTGTGGTAACTGAATGAATGGCAGCTATATTAGTGGCAACTGTTCTTATTGACACCCAGGGGCGTCAACCCTTTGTAGTGCATCAGGGGAGCTGAAAAGAGCCAGAAACCACCCCTAAGGAATAGAGACCTTTTGTAAGTCATTGAACCCCTTGTTAAATATCAGTTTCCTCACTGGTTAAAATAAAGGGAATGTACAGTACTAAGTTATGTGTAAAGTCCCTTTAGAATTTTAACAATCTACAAGGCAGTTTTTGAGGACCAATTTGATTATCTGCAGCACATTTTTGCCAATGTTAGAATTTATCTCATTCACTGTTTTCAATTTTCCAAATTGATATCTTCAGGTTTATTTTACAGTTCCAATCAAACAAGGACTAAAGCTCAGATATGGTGTTGGAAAAAAAAAAAAAACGGAAATCTGTCCCTTAAAGGATACATTTAAGCAAGTTGGCCCCATTTTTCTTTTTCACCTTCATCAAAATAATTACAGTTTATTCGATGGTGTAGCAATTGACAGTGCTTTCAAAGAATGGCTTGAAAAAAGTGGACATTTAATAAGGTATTTGAATTGCAAGTTATGGTATTATTGAGAGTTGTCACTTAAGATTTAAACTTAAAAATTACCCATGTTTATGGCACAAGGATACATTCTATCTAGTCAGTGGACAGCATGATTCTCTTTTTCTCTTTTAACCTCATAAGTATGTAAGTGAGAAGTATTTTTATCTTGGGAAGGCTGAAAGCATAATGGATAAAGATTATTTGTTTCTTTGCATCATTAGGTCCATTTCTGTGCTGCTGTGATTCAGTGAGCAACTATGCCATTGACATCCAAAGAGCAGGTTACCCAGTCCAGGCCACCAGTAACCACAGTGCAAAGTCTATTAGTGTGTGTGTGTGTTTTTCTAAGCATTGAGTTTAATTCTACAATTATCTCATATGAGAACCTCACATTGAGGTCAATGGGTGTTTCAGAATGAATTTGATTACGAGATTTGGTCTATTGAGTAAATGAATGAAATTTGGCTTTTATTAATTTGGAATTTCTCAATTAGGTTCTCAGTTTCCCAAGCAACTTTTAGATATGTTTCTAATGGTACTTATTGGTATCCAAAATGACAAGAAGAGAATTTTTCCCTCTTATGAGATATATCTTGCTTCCCGAGATATTAAACAAAAAGTTTTCTGAAATGTTAATTGGAACTAAATTCTTAGACAAGAAAAAGGAATAAAATGACATTATTTTTTCCATTTCACATTAGTAAAATATAAAACATAATACACCTGCAAAAAGTGTTCTGTTTCTGATGAAGCTTGAGATTATATTTTTCAGGTTTGGTTTGAAAAGCTAAGACATCTGTTTATCTAGTGCATACAGAATAACTCTCATGTCTCCTCATCTCTGAAGATTTCAAAGGCTTTCATTCTGGTTTAAATCCTTTGAAGAAGCAGTAATCAAAGACAAAAATTATCAGAGGTACATTTTTGTTTCCCAAACAATGAAAATAAAACCACTCACCCTGCTTGGATTTCAGGCACTCACATAAAACCTCAAAATTGGAGATTTGCCATTTAAATAAAAAAGTGATATGGATAAATAGCAGCAAAAAAGCAAACTAAGAGAGCATTTTCTCTACTTTCTTTTACTGCATAAATTTAAATTCAATATGTGAACAATTTAAAAAATACTATGATACACAACATCAAACAGCATATACTAGCATGGTGTGACAGAATACATCTGGCTAGTGTGTGGGTTTAGATAAAAAATTAGTTTCAGCATTAAGTTTTTTATTTTAGTGTATTTTGCAAATTGAAAAGATGAAAATAACAGCAATCAGAACCCTAAGGATAATAACAAAGCACACTGTACCACACAAATAAAGCAAAAACACAATAAAGCTGTACTGAGGGAACTGAAATAACTGATCTACTAGCAGTCTTACTGGCTTTCAGTAGCTTCAGAACATATCATTTGACCTTCAGCACACGTAAATCCCATGTATTAAAGAGCTGCATTATAATGCATTCTATCATCTTCTTTTCAAAAACAATGTTCTAAAAATAATGTCTATTGCCTTTTTGACCCTGTTTAGTTAAGAGTAAAGATTTTGATCTCTTACCTTCTGCATTGGAAAAATTGAAAGTAAGCCTTCAGCACGCATGGATGATGTGGTAGCTTCACCTGGGGTAGAAGTGGTAGCTGGATTGTATAAAAAAGAAGACAAGAGGCATTCACTTTTCCTGCCCAGAGCCTAGTAAGAGCAATTAGAGGACAACTAGGTCCTTTCCCAATATTGCTCCCTTCTCTAACAAAGAGGGAATGGAATTTCACATGATATTTCAGAGGTAAATGACCTTTGGATTGGGAATAAGTTTTAGTCATGAAAGCTGTAAATAGATATTTTCCTGGAGCCCAGGGAAAGATGCAGCATGAAAAGAAGAGAAAGTAATGAGGACTCCCTGTGAATAACGGGAGGTAGATCCACCCAGGACAGAGTCAGTCTTCATGGGGTTGTAGATCAGTGATTCTGAAACTTAGCTCTAAACATTTAATCACCTAAGGAGCTTTTATCTATCTCGCTTCTCAGGCTGCACCCTAGACCCACTAAATCCGAATGCTGGAGGTAGCACCCAGGCATCAGTATTTTTAAAACCTGGTACATTTAAGTAACTAGAGACTAAGCACTGAAATTGAGAGACAAAGGAAAAAGAGTAATTGGAGAGAGAGCCATCAGTAGGGTAAAATGCTGCTGAAAGGTCAAGAAAGGTGAGAACCGAAAATGGATTTAGCAGCACAGATGTCATTAAAGACTGTATTGGTCAGGGTTCTCTAGAGAATCACAACCAATAGGAGATCGTAGATATAGAAGATATATAGATAAAGATATAGATAGATTTATTTTAAGCAATTGGCTCACAAAAATGTGAAGGCTGACAAGTTGAAAGTCTTCAGGGTAGGAAGGCTGGCAGGCAAGAGGACAAAAGAAACAGCTGATGCAGCTCGAGTTTGAAGGTACTCTGGAAGCAGAATCCCTTCTTCCTCTGGAGAGGTCAGTCCTTTTTCTCCTAAACCCATCAGCTGATTGGATGAGGCCCTCCCATATAATAGAATCTACTTTATTTAAAGTTTACTGATTTAAATGGTAATCTCATCTAAAAAATACATTCACAAAAAAATCTAGAGTAGTGTTTGTCCAAAAATCTGAGTACCATGGCCGTGCCAATTTGATTTATAAAATTAATCATCACAGTGACCTAAGCTAGAATTTTTTTGGTTTCCTGAGAAGAATGTACAAAGTAATAAATATGCACCCTAAATGTAGGTGATCATTTTAAGACATTTGGTTTCTAAATACAGATTAGAGCCAAGGAAATTCAGAACACCTGTATTAAATAATGTAGGCCGGTGGTTCTCAAACTTGTTTGCACATTAAAATCACCTGGAGATTGCTTAAAAATTTCAAAGCCCAGGCTGCACCCTAGACCAATTAAATCTCTAGGGCATGAGTAGTTCGTGAAGCTCCCCAGGTTGTTTCAATGTGCAGACAAGTTTGGGAACTACTGACTTAGCCTTTCACATTCCAGCATGTAACAAAGGGTTTTTCATAAACTATACTAAAACCAACTTGAAAAATGTTTGATAGTAGGGGTTATATTTATAAATGTTCTGAAGAAAGTTGACAGTCAACCAAATATTCATAGGAACTAAAGAGTACAATATTTAATTAGAAATGCTGATGCTAAAATGACCTGAAGGGGCAGAGCGAAATGGTAGAGTATACTCCCCAGTGATCATCCCCCAGCAGAAACATCAGTTTGAACAACTTATCTATGCATGAAAATATCTTTACAAGAGCGAAGGAAACCAAGTGGGAGACCACAGTACCTGATTGTAACACAACAATAAGAAAAAATGCACTGAAGAGGGAAATAAAAATGTTTTATATTACGTATCTCTCCCATCCCCCAAACCCAGGCAGCACAGCAAGAAGAGAGATACCATCCACTTGGGGTAAAACGAGGGAAATGAGCATAAGGCTCTGTCTTGGACTCCAACACTATACCTATCACAGTAAACCCCAGCACTACTCAGACCCCCCACAGCCCCATATTTCAGGCCAGTACCATTGACTGAGCCCCTAGGCATGCCATGGCACAAGACAGAACCACACAGCCCTACGCTTCAGGCTTACATTATGAATTGATCTTCAGCCCTCAAGAGTCTTTATCAATCTCAGTTCTCAGGCTGCACCCTAGACCAATTAAATCCAAATGCTGCAGGTAGGACCCAGGCATCAGTATTTTTAAAACTTTGGAACATTTAAGTAACTCTAGAATAAGGAGTTATATCTAGAGACAAAGGAATTGTGAGCCAATTCCATACCACTGCCAGGCAAAATGTAGTGGCCCTGGGCCCTGGACAATCTTCAGCAGCAGGCAGCCCACAGAGGCCCCAGGCTTCATGGTTCATCAGCCACGGTGGGCCTCAGGCTTCTGCCTTGCCCCAGTGCTGCACCTGCTTTAGTGGGCCCAGGATTCTGACAGCTCTGCAATGGCTACAGCTGCTCCAGGCATCTGGAAAGCCCAAGTACTATACTTTCCCCAGTGCTTTCCCAAACAAAGCCAGTCTGTGAATACAGGAATAAGCACTTCTTCAAATGTGCAGACACTTGACACACAACTACAAGGATCAAGAACAATCAGGGTAATATGGCATTACCAAATCAAAAAAAAATAAGGTGCTAGTGACCCACCCTAAAGACAAAGAGATGTATGAACTGCTGGACAAAGGGTTCACATAGCTCTGTTTAAGAAAACTCCATGAACTTTAAGAAAATACACAGGAAACAATTCAACAAAACGAGAAAAATAATATGTGACTAGAATACAAAATTTAACAGAGAGATTGAAATAAAAAATAAAACGGAGATCCTGGAGCTGAAAAATACAATGAACAATATAAAAAATGCAATAGAGGGCATCAACAGCAGAATTGAACAAGCAAAAGGAAGTATGTAAACTCGAAGAAAGGTTATTTGGAAATATACAGTCAAAGGAGAAAAAAGAATGAAAAGGAATAAGAAAAGCTAATGGGATTTATGAGACAGTATCTAAAGAGTAAATTTTGAGTCAGGAGTTCAAGAGGAAAATAAAAATAAAGGAGTAGAAAGCTTGTTTGAAGAAATTCTAGTTAGAAAACTGTCCAAACCTGGAGAAAGATGTAAATATCCATGTACAAAAAAATTCAAAGGCCTCCAATCACAGCTATTCCAAATAAGGCTACCCTAAGATATAATATAATAAAACTGTAAAAATCAAAGACAAAAGAGAGGATTCTGAAAGCAGCAAAAGCAGCAAATAACATATAAGAAAGTTCCAGTATGGCTGGCAGAAGAAACTTATAGAACAGAAGATAATGGGATGATTTGTTCAAAGTGCTAAAGATAAAAAACTCTTAACAAAGGGTATTGTATGTAACAAAGCTATCCTTTAGAAATAAGAATATATAAAGAATTTCAAGACAAACAAAGGCGGAGGGAGTTTATCACCACCAGAATTATCTTTCAAATAAGTGCTAAAGGGAGTTCTTCAAGCTGAAAGAAGAGGATGCCAATGAGTAACATGAAAACATTTGAGAGTATAAAACTCACTGATAAAAGTACACAAATTCAGAATACTCTAATACTATAATGGTGATGTGTAACTCACTGAAATCTTTAGTATGTAGATTAAAAGTAAAAACTAAGTAATATTAGCTATAAAATTTGTAAAGAAATATGCAAAATTAAAAGATTTAAATTGTGCTATCAAAAATTCAAAATGAGACCAGATGTAGCGGCTCATACCTGTAATTCCAGTGCTTTGTGAAGTTGAGGAAGCAGGATCACTCAAAGCCAAGAGTTTGAAGCCAGCCTGGGTAACATAGGAAGACCCTGTCTAAACCAAAAAATCAATAAATTAGCTGGGAATAGTGGTACATGCCTATAGTCCTGGCTACTTGGGAGGCTGAGGTGGGAGGATTGCTTAACCCTAGGAGTCTGAGATTCCACTACACTCCAGCCTGGGTGGCAACAGGGTGAGAACCCTGTCTCTATAAAAAAAGAAAAAAAAAAAAGAAAACAAATTCAAAATAGTAAAAGTGTACTTTTTATTTTTTTGCAATCAAAGTTAAGTTGTGAGCTTTAAATAACATGTTATTATAATAAGATATTTTTATAGCCTCATGCTAACCACAAAGCAAAAACCTATAGATGATACACAAAAAATAAAGAGCAAGGAATCAAAGCACATCACCAGAGAAAAATCACTTAATCAAAAACAGAAACATCAAGAGAGAAAGAAAGGAACAAAAGAGCTACAAAACAGCTAGAAAACAATTAACAAAATAGCAGTAGCAAGTACTGCTTAACTTGAATAGAAATTGATTAAATACTCCAACCAATCAAACGACCTAGAATGGCTAAATTGTTAAAAAAAAACAAGACTCAACTCTATGCTACCTGCAAGAGACTCACTTCACCTGTAAGGGCACACATAAACTGAAAGTGAAAAGATGGAGAAAGATAATTCATGCAAATGCAAACCAAAACAGAACAGTAACAGCTAAACTTACATGAGATAAAATAGACTTTAAGTCAAAAATGTTAAAAAGAGACAATATCATTAGATAATGATAAATGTATCAATTCAGCAAGAGGATATAACATATATATAAGATATATATGTTATAATATGTAAATATTATGCATGCAACATCAGAGTACCTAAATATATAAAGCAAATATTAATAGTTCTGAAGAGAGAGATAGACTGCAATACAATAATAGTAGGGACTTCAACACCTCACTTTCAGTAATAGATAGATGTTAGGCTACAAAACAAGTCCTAACAAATTTAAGAAGACAAATCATATCAACTATCTTTTCTGACCATAATGGTATAAAACTAGAAATTAATAACAGAAGGAACCTTGGAAAATTCACAAATACATGGATATTAAACAACATGTCCCTAAACAATCAATGAGCCAATGAGGAAATTAAAAGGAACATTAAAAAATATATTGAGACAAAAATGGAAACGCAACATACCAAAACCTATGAGATAGAGCCCATATGGGACCACTGCTCTGGCATGAGGATCCTGACCTTGTGTCCACCTCCAACCAGATTCCCTTGGAAAATCTGGCCTGGGGGAGCCTGGTTATTCAAATGGAGGACACAAATTCAGTACACCACCACAATTGAAAACAGTTCAAAGATTTTTACTTACAATCCTAAGCAGGGAGGGCACAATGAGTTGGGAAAGCAGTCCTTCTTCCCCAGGTCAAACAAAGCAGGAATAAAAAGTCAGCAGAGAGAGAGAGAGGGAGAGAGAGAGAGAGCGAGTGCACATGGAAACTACCCGCATACAGAAGGGAATAGGGTGTGGGTTACTTTAAGTTCTTGGGCAAATGTCAAAATTGTCCATCTAAAGGAAGCGCTGGACAAGCAGAGAGCCCAGCCTGCAAGGCAGAAGAGCTACTTCCAAGTTCTTATGTCTGGCCACTGGCTTGAGCCTTTTGGGTGCAGTATTCTACCTCTAATGCCTAGGCAGCAAACTTTGCTGTGTTTTCATTACAGGATCTTGAAAAAATATAGTTTCAGATTCAGTAGATCTGGAATGGAGCCCAGGGTTCTGAATTTCTTAGAAGCTCTTAAACATGCTGATGCTGCTAATCAGTAGACCACATTTTGGGCAGTAAGGGTCTAGAGAGAGAATATCCCTCCATATAATTTCTCTAATAATATTTATAGTTTTCTGTATAAGGGTCTTACACATATTTTGTTCCTAGGTATTCAAAAGTATATAAATCACATCTATATTTTAAACTTTTATATTCCATTTTTGTTGATTTATAGCAATTCAATTGATTTTTTACATGACTTTCTTGCTCAACTCATTTATTAATTCTAATAATTTATCTTCATATTCTTTTAGATTTTCTAAAAATACAATCATCATATAAAAATAATGACAATTTTATGTCATTCTCTCTACATCATTTACATTTTATTTCTTTTTCTGGCTTGATTTCCCTGATGAAAATCTCTAGAACTATGTGGAATAGAGACAATGATAGCAGACATTTTAATTCCATAAATTCATAGAATTTGTTAAAAGAATATTTCTTAATTTCTGAACATATGAAATATTCTAGTTACTTTTTGTTAAAAATTGATTTGTAGATTATTTTTACTGTGTTCAGAGGACAAATTGAATGTTTGCTGAGATTTCCTTTATTACCAGATTGTGGTCAATTTGAAAAAATTTTCCATATGCCTGAAAAGAAGGTATTTTCTGCAGATGTTAGATGCAAGGTTATATAGATATTACATTAGGCCAAGTTTGCTAATCTTATTGTTTAATGGCCTAAACTTTGCCTATCCTTACCAATATATGCCTGTTTGTTAAATCAGTTACTGAATTTTGTTAAAAATCCCTCATAATTTTGGATTTTTCTGTTTCTGATTGTATTTAATTAATTTTGGCTTAAGGCTACATTACTAGATTCATAAAAAATGTTGTATCTTCCTAGTGACTTGAAAATGTTGTCATTATGAAGTGCCTCTCTATATTATTATCAAGTTTTTAGAAGCCTGCTTTGTCTGATATTAATACAGCTACTACAGCTTTCATTTGGATTCTGCACCACATGTCTTTTCCATATTTTGTTTTCAAACAGTTTTTGTGATTTTATTTCAGGCGTGTATTTGTAAGTAGCATGTAGTTGGGTTTTGTTATTGGTCCAGTATGACTGTTTTTATCTTTAATAAGATGATTTAGATTATATATAATTAATGTAATTTACTGATATAATTGAGCTTAAATAATCATAGTGATTCCTACTTTTCTATCCATTCTGTTTCTCATGAGACCACATAGAGCTAATTTTATTATTTCTTTTTTCTGCTAGTTTTAATTCATAATGTCTTGCCTCCTTGTGTGCCTTGTTACTTTTTATTCTGTGGCAAACATTACATTTGCAAAATATTAGACATAGAAATATCCTGAAATCTAGGAGAGTTCTCCAGAGAGCATTTATGTTTAATTTAGTAAACAACATGTGACAACTATCTGGATCATTTTAAGCCAATTTCTTGGATTGAAATAATTTGAAGCTGAACCACATCCTATCTCTTTGGTTAATCTATGCTACCAGATTATGCCTTTTGAGAGTCTCACCTCAACATGATGATGGTTTATCCAGGCTCTGTATTTGACAGACTCTACACTTGAATCCTGCCTCTCAGCTCTACAGTCTATCAAACCTATTACTCGGTTTTTCAGCCTCAAATCAGCCCCTGCTGATTCCCAAGTACACTCTGAGCAAATGTGACCCCGCAGTATCATCCCCTACCTCAGGCCTCTGTTCTTTCTTTGGTTTTCATCTGCTTCCCCTCCCCCCACTATCTTATAACTTCTCTGATGCTTTCAAATAAATTTTTTAAGTGTTTTTTTCCTAGTAAGTGTGATCTGAATTACTTAATAGCCATTAATAGAAGAATTTCTCTCATATTCTCTTTTATAGGTTGTTCTGGAAATAGATTTGCAAACTCATTTGTCCCCTATATTTCCTTTTCAGTATGTAGTATGTAAAGTTCATTCTTTTCTACCTAAAGAACTAATATGGAAACATTAAAAAATTTATAATTATGACTTTTCAAAATTAAGTCTCTTGGATATAAAGTGGGAACATTTATTCTGAAAGGAAAAGAAATGGACTAAATGTAATTACTTGAATGCAAATCCACCTTTTTTTGTAGGTCAGCATTCAGATGATTTTCACAGTTGTGGGAAAAGCCTTTGTGGGAGTATTGGTGAAAGGCAATGTCCTTCCTTTTACCTCTCCCTATGAAAACCAAAGAGGAAGCTCCAGTTTCTGTTTATCTACTAAGAGCCAGGCCAAAGTGACCCAGAAGCAGATCATCCATCCCTCCCTCTCAGGGCTTTGGCTTTTCGGGGAATGATAATAAGACTGAGGACAACTGGGAAATTACTTAAAGATTGCAGTGTTTGGAGCCTGGGAATAAAAGATGCATATGGTTTTGAACATCAGTGTCTCCATGAATGTCCAGCAGCAGAATGTCCAGAGTTCCAAATGCCTGAAATATTATCCTGGCTTAGTTAAATTGGCTCTCTAGCTCCCTTTTCTCTATATGTTTGCCCAGCCTGGCTATTCAGGGTTTTATCTGATATCCTTCCAATAAATTGCTTTTCTCTTTAAATTAGCCAGCATTAATTCTGTTGCTTGGAAATTAGCTAAGTGGAAATCAATTAACAAATTTCTTCTGAAGCATAGAAAATAACTCAGTATTTCCTATAATAAATATATTTAATTTACTATGATGTATGTTATCTAAATTACATGCACATATTTCAATAATTCTATTCTGATTTACAAAAAGCATGACTACTTCAGAAGCTGTTATGCATATTTTTTAAACATTTCTTTATTTATAGATATTAAGAAATTAACACAGTTAAAAGATATATAATCAATCATCCAAATAATTTCCTCAGTAATGCAGTTTATTGACAATTGAAGGGATGGATTCAAGAGAAACTATTGAGACATACGAAGTTCAATTTTTATTATTTTTATTTCATTTTATTTTATTGTTATTCTTTTAGAGCAGGGTCTTGCTCTGTCACTCAGGCTCAAGTGCAATGGTGTGATCACAGCCCACTGCAGCCTTGAACTCATGGCCTCAAGTGATCCTCTGGCCATGGCTTCCCAAAGTGCTGGGGTCACAGGGTCATGAGCCATAATACAACACACAGCCCTAAGTTCAGTTTTAGGAACTTATTGCAAAATTCTGCTTTACATGTGTTATAATATGAAATGCAGGCTTCAGGATTTGAAGTTTAACTGATTGCAAGTTACCATGGAAGGGCTAAGATGCTACCATAGATCAGCTTGGTAGGACAGAAAGACAGAAGGGGTGAATGACCTAAATTGAAGGGCTGAAAAATGTAGACCTATTTAGTATAAAAGCAAGTTATTCAATTGGAATAGCATTGTCCAGGCATTGTTCACAGAAAACAACTGAAATTACAAAAAATGATCTCAGAAATGGGGGTTGGTGAGCCAGTGACACTATTGGAAATCTAGAGGAGCAGCTGATATTTAGGAGTCTGGTCTATACTTAGATGTCAATCGACATGACGGGATGAAATTCTATGGTGAAAAGATGGGTTACTTACAGGACAGGGGTGGGGTAAGACCAAAAACAAAAGAGCAGGATCATATTCTTAGGAATATAATAAACCTTAGTGGTTTCTCCTATATTTCACCCCCCAGAAGGGAATGGGCTAGTAGGCAGATTCACAAAAGATCTGAGGCACAAGGAGAAAAGGGTGGGCAATGTAAGGTAAGATTCCTGGGTTCCAGCCTGCACATCAGAATGGAATCCTGCACTGTCCTGTCCTCTAGAACTAGATTACATTACAGAGGCCTGGTGGTCAGCACTGTCTGCCTCCCAGCCAGCTCTCAAATAGCCCCTTTACTCAATGGGAATCCTTGCCCTTGAGCCAAGGATCAGAAGAGAAGGTTCTCTACTACCTGATCGCCATCTCTTTTTATTGATGTTTCTGTGTGAAAAGAGATACAGGGAAGGAACAAACAACCTTTGAAAAAAATCACTGTTTGTGCCTTTCTTCTTAGTCTTCTTGGGGACAATACAGATTTAAACAAAGAAAATTAGTAACAGCTTCATTGGGAGTTTTAACTTCAAACTAATCACACTAGGAAGGATATCAGCCACCTTTTAAGCACTCATTAAGTGATAGGTATTTTTACTGGGTAAGTTGGGTAGGGCCTTCTCCTCCTATAGCCCATCTTTAGGCATTCCAGTAAGTCTACATCTAACTCTCTTACCATCTCAGTGTGATAAGACTGACAAGCCTAGATGAGTTTTATCTACATAAACTCCTGAAACAACAGAAATTAATGCAGAACCCATTATCAGAAATCATAGTATAGCTGGTACACAGCTCTGATCATTGCAAATGAGGTTTCAAATAGACCTGGGAGCACTTTAAGTTCTTTAGAAGTGTTTTCCAAATCAGAAAATCTTTCCCCTAAAAGCTTCTCTGAAATTAACATGGATCTTGACCAAGGATGATTGGTCCCTTCCCAAGAAAGTGTGACTGTCATTAGATTGTACTGAGTAGCCTGGTTTGTGCTATAATCCTTTAATATGTTTTCTGTATTAAAATTAATGTAAAGTCATCAAACTTTGATTTTAGCCAATGCCTACATGTGAACATATAAAAGGACATTATTTCTTTGGGAATAATAACAATGCGATTTTTCCATAAAAAACTATTTTCTTGAAAGAAACATCTATGGATGAATTGAATTCTAAGTTTCTCTAAATGAGGCCCTCTTAACTCCCAATAAAGCTACATGTGCATACATGTAATTTTGCACAGTTAATTGGATGATTTGATTTGTATAAAAAGTGACTCAGATAAGTATTATTTTTGAGGCATCCTTTTTCATTGTAAAATGTCATTCAAAAAAAAAAAAGAAATCTGATAGAAAAAAGTCAGCTGTAATTCCACTATCCCGTTAAATAATTGTTACACCTTAATGAATCTCTCTAGGGCAGGGATGTCTAATCTTTTGGCTTCCCTGGGCCATGTTGGAAGAAAAATTGTCTTGGGCCACACACAAAACACTAACACTAATGATAGTTGATGAGCTTAAAAAAAAATCGCAAAAACATCTCTTCATGTTTTAAGAAAGTTTATGAATTTGTGTTGGGCCACATTCAAAGCCATCCTAGGCTGCATGTGGTCCACGGGCTGTGGGCTGGAAAAGCTTGCTCTAGGGTTTTGAATGTATTCCATTTCTTTTTAAAACAAAGTTAAGATCACAGAATTTGTGTCTGTCTTAATGGTGCTTTTTCTGGGCATCATTATAAGAATTTTATGTATACAGTAGTAACACATTTAGATCTCATGGTAATATTATATGTGTTATTATTATGAACATTTTACAAATGAAGGCATTGAGGCACAGATTGGTCAAGTAACTTGCCAAAGATTTCTCAAGAAAGTGATTAGGTTAGGATGGAACTCCAGCTCTCCTCGCAACTTCTATGACAGAACCTGAGCATTTTGAGTGGCTGTGCAATACTCCATTGAATAACTATATCACCCTCCTTATCACTGAATATTTAGGTTATGTGCCAACTCAGCCTAATAATTCAACGAACTTTCATATTTGGAAATATGTGCAGAGACTACATTTCCAAAAGAAGAATTGCTAAATCAAAAAGTTTCCATGTTTTCTATGTCCAGAATTTAAAATTTTTGAATTACATCGCTGATCTTTTCCATCATGATTACTTCTATTGTTTATATGCTTATTGATAATAAAATAATTTTGCATACTGTAGGTAGGGCACAACTTTCCAAAGCAGAGAAATATTGCAATGTACCAGGTATAGATAAATTCATAATTGCATGAATGATTATACAATTAGGAATGCAACATTATCTGTAGAGAAAGATTCCCAAAGAGACTTCTGATCATTGTTTATGTATAAATTACATAGATAATGTGTAGCAGTGATCTTGAAACTTCTTGACTCCTGAGAGAACTACAAAATCTCCCTTGTCAATATACATATTGACCCATCCTGAATGTGACACTATTCTCAATGCTCATTGGCATTTGGGGATTAAGCATAGCTCTGACACTTGAAAGAGATATGTCAGTGGTAAAAATTAATGAAAAAGTTTTTGTTTCAGTGAAAATTCTTTGGTTGCATGCCGCAAAAAGGACTGTATTGTAAAGATACTTGGTAGCTTGTATATTTAAA
Source organism: Homo sapiens (assembly GCF_000001405.40). Taxonomy (NCBI): domain Eukaryota; kingdom Metazoa; phylum Chordata; class Mammalia; order Primates; family Hominidae; genus Homo; species Homo sapiens. The sequence goes on from NC_000013.11 coordinate 72,039,086, forward strand.
GGAAAAGTTGAACAACTAAAACTGCGTATTGTAAATAATTAGACAAGCAGCTTTGGAAATTTCAGGCAGGAACACATGGATGATTTCATCTACAAGCTGGTGATAGAATACATTTTATCATTTGTAACTTCATTAGAGATTCAGATTCCTGAGAAAGAGAGTTTGATTGGCTTATCCCTCAACTGAAACTGGGAGAAGGAAAGACTGAACTTGACAGTCCCACTGCTACCACAAGGATTTCTAAAAAGCTGAGCAAGCAAAAGCAGTCGCTGCCAAATTCAATTTCCATCTTAATGTGGTAACAGAAGCGCAGAAGTCAATAAATTCTTAAATACCCAGAAAACATCTTCATGTTGGCAATCCATGCCATGAAATGTTTTAATCAGTAGACAGTGGCAATGTACTAACTTCACAAAGACATCGCTTTGATTTGTTGTTGATTTTCAAATTTAGCCAATACTAGAATAGTGTTAGTTCTAAACTGGGATCAGGAAACACAACATCAAGGAATAGTTGGCAGTTAATATGAAAGACAAAACTAGGTTTGGAAAGTCAGGACATGACCAGAATCAGAATACTGGAAAGCAAATTAGAGACATCAAAATACGTGGGCTACCTGAAAGATTCCAGCTACAACATTGGGAAGCCAAGGTCAAAGCTGGTGAAGAATGAAGAGTGTACAGAGCAAAGGAATGAGTGTGCATGTGAACAAATTATTTTAGAAAGTGGTTGCTAATAGTAGGGCTTATTTTGAAAGCCTGAAACACAGTAGGAAAAATGAGCATGTGCTTTAGCACATCCAAGGAAAGAATTCCAAGGAAAATTATTACAAAAAGTTTAACATTATTTTTTCTTTTTCTTTAAATGCACTGAGGTAGTCCTCAGAGTTATTTTAATGGCTTAGAATTATTTTTATTTGATGTTCCACTAGAAGAGGGCACCTACATTTTTTTCAGTGTTTAGGTCTCTAAATGTCTTAATTTGATCCTGTTTAGTAACCTCTCCAAGAACATACTTCCAAAGGTATGGCACTTTTAAGAAAGCTACATAATGTAATTATAACTGAGTATATAAATTAGTAAATGATTTTAGCCAACAGATGTTTGTTAAATGCTTACAATAAGCTAGGCTTGGCAAAAATAAAAGTGAAAAATTCAAATATCTAGTAAAAATTCTAAGAGATATTTGATTATTGTCACTAGTACTTTCTATGATGAATGTGTCCTAAAATTTGATAACCTGGAGTTTTCCCTCCTGGATGATACCAACTCTCCTTCCTGGTAAACAAATAAAATGCCTGGATTATATATATTTATATATAATTTTAAACTTTAAATTGTTGAAAAGGTGACAAAATTGTAAAGAACTATCAGGGCAAAAAGAAGTGAAAGCAAGAACCCAGATAGGCAGCGCCTCCTTCCCTGTCCTTCCCACACACACCACTGCACCACCATCCCCACCACAATCATCGTCATTTTCGGCATCATTCACTTCCTTTTGCCCTATGGACATTTTTGTCCAGGGAGAAACATGAATTGTGATTTTTCACAGCCTCTTGCACATAGGCCAAACATCAAAACTCAAGGCTCTCCCAAGGTGATGTTCTAAAAGAAGGCCTTCACCTGGCAAACCTGGGCCCCTATCTCAGGGCATAAGGTAAACCTAAAAGAAACTCCTCCTAGGAGACAAGGAAAGTTACTTTGCGGATGAGTAGATCATGGCTAGAGGGGAGGATCTATTGCTTAGAATGTATAATTACAAACCAGCCATCAAGGGGGTTTGAAGTTTAAAGCCACCACACATCTAGTAGTCTAAAAAACTCAAAGCGTAAATTTTGCTTAAATGAACTTTACTGGTAGTATCTATGGATGCCTCAGAAAAAACAAACAAACAAAAGCCTCTTCTATGGGGGAATAAATCTTTATTGAAGGCTTCAAAGAATCTTCACAATGATTTTTCAATAAAACGACTCCCCATAAAAGATCACGTAATACAGGCAACACAACACTGAAATTAGAATCAACGGGAAGAAATACAGATAACAGACTGAATCCCACAAAGATTTCTTACATTGTAATAATTATTGTTATAACACTTGAAAAAGAAAGTTGTTCAAATATCAAATATCTACAGGGAACAGTAAACTAAACAACAACAAACCCTGAACTAGAAGACTGAAAAAAAGGACCAAACAGAACTCATAGAAATAAGATATAATAATTGAAAGTGCAAACCCAATGATTAAGTATAAAAGCAGATTAGATACAGAAGGAGAGGAAACGTGGTGGAATGGAAAGTAAGTCAAAAGAAATTATTCAGAACGTAGTACAGAGACAGAAAGGAGGAAAATATGAAAGAGAAGTTAAAAGGCATCAATGATCAAGTGAATGGGGTTATGGTATATCTAATCAGAGTTCCTGCAAGATGAGAGAGAGAGAGAGAGGCAAAGAAGAGATCATGCATAAGAACTTTTCATAACTGATGAAATTTCAAGAGGTTCAACAAATGCTAGGGTGAGTAAAAAGAAATACACACCCAGATGTGTCGCAGTGATACCACATAACACCAAAACAAGAGGTACCTTAAAAGCAAAAAGTAGACCTATATGGACTTTCAAAGCAGAAACACCTTAACGGCATCAAGTTGGAAGACTGAAATAACATTTTCAACACGATAAGAGAAAGTAAGCGCCAAGCTAGAAATCTATTCCAAGTGAAAATTTCTTTAAAATATGAGGGCAAAATAAAGATGTTTTTAGACAAACAAAAAGAAAATGAGAGTGTATATCACTGTCAACTCTTCACTAAAGAAAATTCTAAAAAATTCTTCTTAGGAAAAAAGGATCACAGATGTAAGTTCTCAGCTGTAGAAAGCACACCTCTAAGTTGGTTTTTAAAAAGTAAATACAAACACAATGGCTTCATAGATGATATTTATTGAATATTCAATAATATTTAAGTATTCAATAAATACATGGTACATTTTGAATACCAGGTAAGTTTTCATTTTATTTTATTGAGACAGGGTCTTGCTCTGTCACCCAGGCTGGAGTGTTGGGGCTCAATCATAGTTCACTGCAGCCTTAATTCTCCAGGCTCAAGTGACCCTCCTGCCTCAGCCTTCTGAGCAGCTGGGACTACAGGCATGCACCACCATGCCTGGCTAATATTTTTTATTATTAGTAGAGACAAGGTCTCATTTTTTTGCCCAGGCTGGTCTAGAACTCCTAAACTCAAGTGATCCTCCCACCTTAGCCTCCCAAAGTGCTAGAATTACAAGTATGAGCAGGTGATGTTTTATTTTATTTTTTTAAATGTTATTATTTTTATTTATTTATTTTATTTATTTATTTGAGACACAGTCTCACTCTGTCACCTAGACTGGAGTGCAGTGGCACGATCTCAGCTCACTGCAACCTCTGCCTCCTGGGTTCCAGTGATTTTCCTGCCTCAGCCTCCCAAACAGCTGGGATTACAGGTGCCTGCCACCACACACAGTTCATTTTTGTATTTTTTTGCAGAGACAGGATTTCACCGTTTTGGCCAGGTTCGTCTCGAACTCCTGACCTCAAGTGATCCGCCCGCCTCAGCCTCCCAAAGTGCTGTGATTACAGGCATAAGCCACAGCGCCCAGCCGCAAGCAATGTTTTGCATAATTTTTCTTTGTCATCCTCACAATCATATGAGGTTGGCCCTATTTCTTGTCATCCCCATTTTAGAGAAGAGGCACAGTTGAGGTGTAGCAACATTGAACATGTGACAAGCTTGGCAGTGCAGGTTGACACAAGGACTGGCCACAGAACCAGGGCACTACAGTGCAGTGGCCCAAGGCCAGGGCAAAAACCACACTTAAATAAAATTAAGTGCTGTGTTAGAGAAATAGATCCAGGATGCAAATGAGTGTTCAGGAATAAAAGATATGTATTTAGAAATAAGGCTATAAAATTGGAGATGATGAAAGGAAAGTAGTTGAAAGAATCTGAAATGTCAACAGATCTGGGCTGCTCGCAGCCCACCTTTCTCTGTTGAATGCTGAACACATGATACAACCACAAGGCAAGAAGAGTAGGAAGTCCAGGGGTGAGGTGAACTAACCCCGGGTCTTAAATTTGAGAACTCTTATTTTTAGGATAAATGTATTGGACCAACTTGTTTTTAAGGCTGCTTTCAACTATAGTTATAACACACACTTTGTTGCAGAACATTTTCATGGAAATGATCCAGCTGCAGGTCTTTGGCCACTTGTAAGGATGGTGTATTACATATGTCTTTGTTTAGTTAGGTTCTATGAATATTACATTTTTAAGGCTGTGTTATATTCAGATTTTGAAATATGTAGACATTGAGGAGGCTTTACACACTATGAAGGGTACAAGGCCCAAATAAAGGGACTCAGAATTCCTCTTGGGCTAGGAAGAGCAGTACCATTTGTCACATTCGTCATAGAAATCTTCCTGCTAATTATTTTTGGCAGAGTTAGGAGCTACAGGAGCAGGAATTGGAAAGGAATGGAGACACCCAAAATAGTCGCCCCAGAATTTGGATTTTTGCCTTAGATTGGGGGAAGAAAAGACTCAGTCTGTCTGGGAGACTGCTAGATAAGATCGCATCTCCCAAGAGAGAAGACAAGCTATACGGGTATTTTGGGTTCTACATTAATAATTGTGGGATCAAAACCCTGTAATTTGGAAAAGTAATTGTGATGATGACGTTTGCATTTTCTGTAATCATTTTCCTTTTGTTCCTTTGTAGCATATGGTAAGTTTCTCATTAAATATCTCGGCAGTACAAAAGAAAACCAAGGGAGATTTCATTTGTTTGCTTTTGCCACCTTGGTCCAACAATTAAAGGGAAGCAGTATAATTCTAGGAACAAAATATATTGGTGTTTATGATAGTAACATAAAAATTATAAGAAGAAAATAAAAATGAGTCCCAAAGTCAGGACCTCTTTATTAGAATAGCACATTATTTGTCCATACTCCCTCTTCTCTCACTCCAGCATCACACACAGGGGTGATATTCAGTTGCCCAATGACTATGAATGCTATTGTTACCGCCGCCGATGTCTTCTGAGAAATGCTTATTCTCCCTTTGTGCCTTTAGAACAGCAATGATATAGCTAGAAACACAAACATTTAATACACATAGATAAAACTGGTAAGACATGTGGGATGGCAGAAAGGAAAACAATTCAGCAAGACTTGCATGTTTCTGGTGTAAGCACCTTGGTGAGTTGGGCAACCGGATGTGTTCAGTGAGTTACTTGAAATGGGAACGTAAGATTGAAGAACAGATTTGGTTGAGGTGGGGTGATAAGCTTCGTTATGGAAACAATGGAAATAAGTGTTCCCTTTTACTGAACATCTATTTCATTCCAGACAAT